>NC_000002.12:51705503-52008534 GCF_000001405.40 Homo sapiens | reverse complement strand
AGATGGCAGCAAGTCTTTTGTTCTCTGACTTGGGGTTCTTGGCCTCACGGATTCCAAAGAATGGAACCTTGGGCCATGCGGTGTTACAGCTCTATTAGAAGCCATGGATCACGGTAGAGAACCGTGGAACCCAGTGACTAGTGTTCAGCTCGATTAGGATGAACTTGGGCACTTAGCCGTGCAGGAACAATGGTGAGCCTTTAGCCCAATCGGGAGCAGCAATGGGCACCACGCTGGATCAGCAGCACAGTGGACACCCTGCCAGATCTGGAGGGGTGGAAGTCAACCGCCGGTCGGCAATGGCAGCAAAGAGCAGTGGTGGACAATGAGTGAAAGCTCAGCTTGAGCCTTAACAAACATGGACCAGAAGAGTGTGCAGTTGCAAGATTTAATAGAGTTAAACCAGAGCTCCCACACAAGGGGAGGAGACCCAAAGGGGATTGCAGCTCCCTGCTCGAATGCCTGGGTTTATATCACGATCATTGTCCCTCCCACTGTGCTCTCAGCCGATATATCATTTTGTGTCCGGAATTGGTGGGTTCTTGGTCTCACTGACTTCGAGAATGAAGCTGCGGACCGTCGCGGTGAGTGTTACAGCTCTTAAGGTGGCGCGTCTGGAGTTTGTTCCTTCTGATGTTCAGATGTGTTGAGAGTTTCTTCCTTCTGGTGGGTTCGTGGTCTCGCTGGCTCAGGAGTGAAGCTGCAGACCTTCGCGGTGAGTGTTACAGCTCTTAAGGCAGCACGTCTGGAGTTGTTCGTTCCTCCCGGTGGGCTCCTGGTCTCGCTTGGCTCAGGAGTGAAGCTGCAGATCTTCGTGGTGAGTGTTACAGCTCTTAAAAGCCATGTGGACCCAAAGAGTGAGCAATAGCAAGATTTATCGCAAAGAGCAAAAGAACAAAGCGTCCACACTGTGGAAGAGGACCCAAGCAGATTGCCACTGCTGGCTAGGGCAGCCTGCTTTTATTCTCTTATCCGGCCCCACCCACGTCCTGCTGATTGGTAGAGCCCAGTGGTCTGTTTTGACAGGGCACTGATTGGTGCATTTACAATCCCTGAGCTAGATACAAAGGTTCTCCACGTCCCCATCAGATTAGTTAGATACAGAGTATCCACACAAAGGTTCTCCAAGGCCCTACCAGAGCAGCTAGATACAGAGTGTCGATTGGTGCACTCACAAACCCTGAGCTAAACACAGGGTGCTGATTGGTGTATTTACAATCCCTGAGCTAGACATAAAGGTTCTCCAAGGCTCCACCAGACTCAGGAGCCCAGCTGGCTTCACCCAGTGGATCCCAAACCGGGGCTGCAGGTGGAGCTGCCTGCCAGTCCTGTGCCATGCGCTCGCACTCCTCAGCCCTTGGGTGGTGGATGGGACTGGGCACCCTGGAGCAGGGGACAGTGCTCGTCGGGGAGGCTAGGGCTGCACAGAAGCCCACGGAGGTGGGGGAAGGCTCAGGCATGGCGCCCTGCATGCCTTCCCCGCGGGAAGGCCTGCCCCGCGGGAAGGCAGCTAAGGCCCGGCGAGAAATTGAGCACAGCGCCGGTGGGCGGGCACTGCTGGGGGACCCGGTACGCCCTCCGCAGCCGCTGGCCCGGGTGCCAAGTCCCTCACTGCCCGGCACCGGCAGGGCCGGCCGGCTGCTCCGAGTGCGGGGCCAGCCAAGCCCACGCCCACCCGGAACTCCAGCTGGCCCGCAAGCGCTGCACGCAGTCCCGGTTCCCACTGGTGCCTCTCCCTCCACACCTCCCTGCAAGCTGAGGGAGCCGGCTCTGGCCTTGGCCAGCCCAGAAAGGGGCTCCCATAGTGCAGTGGTGGGCTGAAGGGCTTCTCAAGTGCCACCAAAGTGGCAGCCCAGGCAGAGGAGGCGCCGAGAGCAAGCGAGGGCTGTGAGGACTGCCAGCATGCTGTCACCTCTCAATTTGACTATTTCTTCACCTCCTGATTTTAGCCTAATTTGTATTTTAGTGAGCCCTCTTTACTACCTGATTGGTCGGATGTGATCTGAGTTACAAGCCCCATGTTTAAAGGTAGGTGAGGTCACCTTCCCCAGATAGGCTTAGGAATTCTTAGTTGGCACAGGAAATCCAGCTAGTCTTGTCTCTTAACATGGCATCTGGTTCTGTGCTTTCACTTTTGTTTATATTAAATCATGCGTATATTCACTGCCATCCAGTGTGACTCCGAGTCTTAAAACCAAGGCTTTGCCACGTTATTCTACACAGAAATACCTTTTATTCTCATTGTTACCAATAAAAATGTTTTCATATTAATCAATTCTTTAAAAATGTATTCAATTATCACTACACTACAGTATTTTGAAGAACAAACAAAATAAGAGCAACCTACATTGATCTGCCTTTTTCTACATTTCCAGCTTCAATTGGTATCTTTCACTTTGCAACTTAAAACCAATGCTTTGTATTGTTGCTAAAATATTTACTGGTTCTCCAATTAGATTTCATGCTTATAGAATACCAGTACTCAACCTTTAAGTGCTTGAGATGCACATTGGAATAATGGAATTTTGTGTGTCAAACTGAAAGGAATTACAATGTAAACAACTGTTTGAAAAATCAGTTCAGAGAATATCATAAATATCTTGCTTAAGTATCGTGTTGTTCACTTGGTTACCTTTCAGTGCTCTACTACCTTTGAGTAAAACATAGCTTATTTGTACTGCATTTCCTTAGGTACTCATGGAAGTATTTCCTGGTTCTTGCTTGATATTATGCCTCACTTCTTATTTCCAGCAAGTTATATTTTACTCTATTTCTCTATATCCTGGTGTTTCTGGTTTTAGCAAACATTTACACATTTAAAAAATTTGACTTTACACTTGCGAAGGCTTCACAAATAAAATGAGTCTGACAAACTTAGAAGTCAGAAAATCTGTATTTTCTGGTCAGAATGACTTGCTGATAAACTGAATACTGGGGAGAAGGCAAAGAAAGAAGAAAAATAACCTCTCTTAGAGATTATTTTATGTTTTCACTATTTTTGAGTTCAGCATTCAGAACAAGGTTATTTTTGAAATATTATATGTCAAAGTTGCATGAAATCAGAAATCACATTTCAATGACTTATATGACACTGATCTACAATAATAGTTTATTTTAATTTGTTTTTTATTACTTAATGCTTACATCTAAAATAACTTTACAAAGCATTTTGGAAACATAAATATCTATAATCTTGAACTGTGTATTGTTTGACACTGACATATGGAAATCTGAGTCTCTAAGATAGTTTATTCATTGCTACCATGTAACTGACAGTTATTTATACTTAAAGCACACTAAATTAACTTATGTGTGAAAAGACAGTGAGAAATGATCTAAAATCTCAAAAGGATAATAAAATAATGATAAGGAAGTTACAGCCAGGCATCAGGACCTTCCTGTAGTTTTCCCCAGATATCCTCATTATTAGAGGCCCAAACTCTGAAAAAGGAAGGATGTTAATAGATCCCTGAGAATAACCTGTTTGTTCCCTCGTAAACTCTGTGAGCAAGTAACAATCTTATCATTCCACACTCAAGAGATGTTTAACACAGACCAGGACAATCAAGACGGTACAGATAGATTTCCTCTTCTTTCAGTGCGGTAGCCCTGAGGTAGATCCCCATTTTAACGCTGGGTAAATTGTTAGCAAATGGTAAAACTCAAACTACACCTATCTTAGAAATAATATTTATTTGTCTCCAAGTGAGTTTCTGAGAAGCACAAGTTTGGCAGAATATAATTCTATGTGATCAAATGCCTTTGAATATTTTATAAACTGAATAAGTGAGACACAAGAATAGCGGTAATTATTTTTAAACCTGTAGTATCAGTTCCTGAAATAATATCTTCTAATTAGGATACTACAGGTGAATATTTAGCACAGTTATAGAATGCAAAATGAAAATATTTGTAAACATTCAATTATTTGCCTCATTCAGTTGGGAAAATTGAAAATTGAGTTACAATAAATTGCGTAGTCGTTTTATATTAACATTAGCAAAAGTGCTTACAGAAAATTATACCTAAATGTAATTCATAAACCACAGAAACAAAAGGTTTATTACTGGAAGGAATGTAAAAGATAATCCAGTTGTAAAGCAAATATTCAAGGATTTAAAGTGAAATGTTCCCATGATATAAGTGAAGCAACTGAGGCTGAGAGAATTTGTGATTTCCCAACAACATAGAAAAGTATGTTTAGTAGTTCTACTTTAAAATTGTTTTTAAGTTTATGTGTAAATTTTAGGGAACAAAACAAGCTGTTTACATTTTATCTTACTTTTTGAAATAAATGTGATAGTGCCCATAAATTATAGCCATATCAAAATGTTATCAATACAATTAAGCAAGTCATATGAAAGCTGTAATTTCAATTTGTTACAACATTAAATTGGATCATAGTATATTATAGGATATCCTTTTTTCCAAACAGTTTATTAATTTGTTTCAATTATTAGGTATCTTACCAGTTGTATTCTAGAGTTGTCTTGGGAAGCAGGTGGTTGATATATATACTCAGATTAAAAATGAGCTTCTTATTATACTAGTTAATTCTGGCCCTTTCATCTGTGTTGACTGCCCTTAAATTTGACAAATATGCTTAAATAAATAAAAAAAATACATTATTCTCAATAAATATCTCCTGGGCCTTTGAGGGGAAAATCAGAAAACCTAGAATAGCTTCGTAGAAAAAAAAATTTTAAAAATGAGGAAGACAATTAATTTGTCAGACAACATTAACTATTTTTATTTTTTTTCATTTATTGCAGGTAAAATGGTCACTGAGATTACACAATTTCTAGAATTGTCTCATTCAATGTGGACACATTACTAAATTCTGCCTAATGCTATCTAAAGCAGAAATGTTCTGCAGAAGCTTTCCAAGTGTTCCTTGAGAAAGGGTGCTAATATTCAGCCCCAGGCCCTTCTTAGCTATGCTTTTCTCCATTCTAGTTCCCACGACATAGATATCTGTCTACAACTTAGTCCACATGAGTGATCCAAAGATCACCCTAATTATATTTTTAAAAGAAAAAAAGAACTGAAAAGAGCCTGAGTGCCCGAGTTCATAGAATAGAATAGAACAGAATAGAATAGAATAGAGTACAAACTAGCTCTTGATTGCCTATAGATTTTCATATTGTTTATGCTACTGTTATTTTGATTATTTCTCACAGCTAAGCTTTAAATAATATAAACAAATAGTCATTTGCACATAATAAAAGTGGAAGGACAAGAAAAGGAGAAATAAAGTCAGAGAAAATAGGAACTTATTTAAAGTTGATCTGAACTTTATGCTAGAATGGCTCCCTTTACATAATCAAGCAAAAATATTACCCTCAAAAGCACACAGCTGTGTCTTTCTACAAATTTGTCAAATGGCTGAAATTCCCACGATAAAAAATAAACACAGAAAATCTACCAAAAAAATACTGTTGTGAAGCATAATAATTCAAACAAAACCCACAAAAAGAAAAGTAATAAATTTAATGCCTAAAAAATATAAGAGCACCCACAAGGAAAAAGGTTATCCAAAGCAAAATCAAAAGATTTAAAAAATTGCAACATATGTGACAAACATTAATTGTCTTAATGAACAAAGAGTTCACACAAAAATATAGAAAATGAGTGATCCACATCTAATTATAAAGATAACTACAAAATGTTAATCAGCATAAATCCTTAACCTAACTTATAATTTAAAAGATAAGAAAATATAATTAATGAAAACCCTTTTGTCTTTCAGGTTCTCAATGATGTAAAATTTTGATATTATTTATTTTGTGGCTCATGTTGGTTAAATGGATACTCATATATTATTCCTTGCAGTGGAAACTAATGTAACATAGTTGAAAGAAATTTGGTAATAAATACTAAAATTTAAAGTATATGTGCTCTTTTACCCCCCAAATCTTACTTCTAGACTGCTACCTTGTAGATATATATTTATACCATTATGCAAAGATGCTCTTGGTAAGGATGCTGGTAAGGTCTGAATGTTTGTGTCCCAAAATTTATATGTTGAAATCCTAACCCTCAAGGTGATGGTGAGGAGGTGGGGCCCTTCGGCGGGTCATGAGGGTGCAGCCCTCATGAATGAGATTAGTGCCTTTATAATGGAAGCTCCAGAGAGCTGCTTTGCGCACTCCATCCACTATGTGAGAACACAGCTAGACAGCACTCTCTATGAGGAAGCAGGCCCTCGCCAATTACTGTCACTGTCCTGATTTTGGACTTCCCATCCTTTAGAATTGTGAGAAATAAATTTCTGCTGTTTATAAGGTACCCAGGCTAAGTGTTTAAAAAATACATATTTTATAATGGTAAATTTTGTAAATGCAATAAATAAGGCAATATGAAAGCTATGTAATGCGTGAATAGTTTTGATTGGGTGTTCACGGAAAACTCTTCTGAGAAGATGATAATTCAGCTGAAAGCTAAAGGATACCATGAAGGAGTCTCTGCAATGTTTGAGGGTAAGCTGTTCAAGATCAGAGCCAGTTGATCTAATAAAGAATAGTTAATGTTGGTTTCAGTAAGTTTTCTACCCTGGTAAAAAATAAACAAGCTAGGTCTTTCAAACAGAACTGAGATTTTAAGGAAAATTAAGGGTTTTAAAAATTTTAGAGGAGTAGGCTCTAATCTGGCTTTCTAGAAATGGCTACCAGTGACTTGGCCTGCAAGGGGAGCTATGAGTTTTGAGATTACCACTGGATTTGCTGAGTTTCAGCACATGCTGCCAAAGCTATTATGCAGCGAGTCAGGGTAAGTTACACAGGTGCCAATGCTCCACATTCAGAAGGGTGGTAAACAGACACTGAAAAAAGAAATTTAGCCACTGCCTCCCCCACATCTGCCTCTCAACATCCAGGAAATTGGAGAATGGACACTTGAACATGGCTGTGAGAATGCTTTGAATTCTCAAATTTGCTTGACAGAAGGAAGAGGCCAAGTTGGCAAGAAGATGCCTACCTACTGTCACACTACCTCCCAAATGTTTGCACAAGTACATCTGATTAGCATTCCTGATATTCATCCAGAAACACAGCCGGAAGGAAATCCAGGAAATGTCGTTTTTAACCCTCCTTGGTTTAGAGAAAGAAGGCAATTGTGGTTGGCCAAGCCAGTTATGGTACAGGGATAAAGTTTTATGAAATCAGACTAAAAAGGTAAAGGTTGACTCAGATAGGGCCACTTAGGTCATGGCCAGGAGTCAGAATTGTATTCTAGGCACAATGGAAAGACACTGGAATTGTAAAACTGGGAGAATATTTACTCTGTTTTACATTTTAAAATATTTGTTTATGTGCAGTATATAGATTAGATTGTGAATAGAGAGAAAGGAAGGAAATTATGTCTACAACTATAGTATAGGTGAGAAGTGACAGTGGCTTTAATTATAGAGACAGTCAATAAGGTAGATAGATTTAGAATACATTTTGAGGAAAACCTAATGGCACTTGCAGATTAATTGGATATGGGCCGAGGGAGGTGAGGCAATGACAAAACATTGGAGCCTTAAGTTTGTATTTGAGTAACAAGGTACATAATGCTATCATATACTGTCATGAGACAGAATGTTGTTATTGGGAGTTTTCAGCAGAGTTCTGTTTGGACTGTGAAAATTTTGAGATTTCAAGTACATTCTGATGTGTAGTATGGAGCTCAATATAGATGCTAACATTGGAAATAGAATTTTGGAAGTCATTTGGATAAGAAGTGATATCTAAAGCCATTGGTTTACTGGGTATTATTCAGGAAGAGGGTATAGATAGAGGAAGACAGGGAACAATTATCCAAGGCTGATTCAATATTAAGTAGAATTGCAGACATGACAGTAGGTTAAGAAGAATTAGTCAGAAGTGTCGTGAAAGTCTGGAGTAGAGAGTGTTTCAAGAAGGAAAGAATAATCAACAAATTAGTCATTGTATTACCATATGGTAGGTTTCTATGCAGTTCTTAAAATAAATGGAGCAAATCGATATATGTTTATATATAAAAAACTTCAAATAACATTATTAAGTGAGAAAATGCCTTTGTATTAATCTCCTGTGTGAACAAAATATGCTTGCATTTTCATATATATAATATTTATAATAACAAGATTCATCAATAATAATAGTAACAATGAGGAACTATCACATGGGTTGACTCATTGCAACTCATATACACATTGGAATGTCCTGATTTATAAAATTTTTTCTTTGTTAGAAATAGTTCTGCAAGTCTCTGAGAGACCTGTAAGGATCTAGGACTCTTGAAAAATAAGTGATCAGATACCCTGGTGTAGTGAAAAAAAAAAAATATATGGAATTTGAATCCTGGCTTTGGGGCTTTCTAGCAATGTGCCTTTATCCAGTAACTTAGACTTATGGAACCAGAAAATGACAGAAAAAAGAAACGTATTCAATTGTACTTTTTAGTCATGTAATTGTAAAATAATAGGGTATGTTTCATATAATTCTTATTCATTAAGAAGCAAAACAAAACAACAATGATAATATATTAATAGCAAAAGTGATGATGATGATGGAGGTTGTGGCAGCAACAGCAGCAGCAAAAGCTTCCCTAATATCTCTTCTGTGTAAGGGTACTGTATTAGTCTGTTTCACACTGCTGATAAAGACATACGCAAGACTGGGAAATTTAAAAAGAGATAGGTTTAATTGGACTCAGAGTTCCACGTGGCTGAGGACACCTCACAATCACAGCAGAAGGCAAGGAGAAGCAAATCACATCTCATGCAGAATGTGGCAGACAAAGACAGTGCTTGTTCAGGGCAACTTCCATGTTTTAAAACTATCACTTCTCATTAGGCCCATTCATATCACGAGAACAGCATGGCAAAGACCCACCTCCTTAATTCAATCATCTCCCACCAGGTCTCTCACAAATGTGGGAATCATGGGAGCTATAAGACGAGATTTGGGTGGGGACACAGAGCCAAACCATATCATTCCAACCCTGGCCCCTCCCAAATCTCATATCTTCACATTTGAAAACCAATCATGCCTTCCCAACAGTCCCTCAAAGTCATTAACTCAAAAGTCCGCACTCCAAAGTCTCATCCAAGACGAGGTAAGTCCCTTCCACCTATGAGCCTAGAAAATCAAAAGCAAATTAGTTACTTCATAAATACAATGGGGATACAGGCATTGGGTAAATATGGCCATTCCACATGGGAGAAATTGGCCAAAACAAAGGGGCTGTAGGCCCCATGCAAGTCTGAAATCCAGCAGGCTGTCAAATCTTAAAGTTCCAAAATGATCTTTTTTGATTCCATGTCTCACACCCAGGTCACGCTGATGCAAGAGGTTGGTTCCCATAGTATTGGGCAGCTCATGAGCTGGGGTTGAGTGTCTGCAGCTTTTCTAGGCACATGGTGCAAGGTGTCAGTTGGTCTACCATTCCGGGGCCTGGAGTGTGGTGGCCCTCTTCTCACAGCTCCACTAGGCAGTGCCCCAGTAGGAACTCTGGGGGCGGGGGGCTCCAACCCCACATTTCTCTTCTGCACTGCTCTAGCAGAGGTTCTCCATGAGGACCCTGCCCCTACAGCAAACCTCTGCCTGGGCATCCAGGCATTTTCATACATCTTCTGAAATCTAGGTGGGGGTTTCCAAACCTCAATTCCTGACTTCTGTTCATGCACAGATTCAACATTGTGTAAAAGCTGCCAAGGTTTGAGGCTTGCACCCTCTGAAGCCACAGATTGAGCTCTGTGTTGGCCCCCTTCAGCCATGGCTGGAGCAGCTGGGACACAGGGCACCAAGTCCGTAGGCTGCACACAGCACAGGGACCCTGGGCCTGGCCCATGAAACCACTTTTTCCTTTTAAAACTCTGGGCCTGTGATGGGAGGGGCTGCTGCGAAGGTCTCTGACATGCCCTGGAGACATTTTCCCTATTTTCTTGGTGATTAACATCCTGCTCCTCATTACTTACGCAAATTTCTGCATCCCACTTGAATTTCTTCTCAGAAAATGGGATTTTCTTTTCTATCACATTGTCAAACTGAAAATTTTCCAAACTTATGCTCTCTTTCCATTTTAAAACTGAATGCCTTTACCAGTACCCAAGTCACCTTTTGAAAGCTTTGCTGTTTAGAAATTTCTTTCGCCAGATACCCTAAGTCATCTCTCTCAAGTTCAAAGTTCCACAAATCTCTAGGGCACAGGCAAAATGCGGCCAGTTTCTTTGCTAAAAATAACAAGCGTCACCTTTGCTCCAGTTCCCAACAAGTTCCTCATCTCCATCTGACACCACCTCAGCCTGGACATTATTGTTCATATCACTATCAGCATTTTTGTCAAAGCCAGTCAACGAGTCTCTAGGCAGTTCCAAACTTTCCCACATTTTTCTTTCTTCTGAGCCCTCCAAAGTGTTCCAACCTCTGCCTGTTATCCAGTTCCAAAGCTGCTTCCACATTTTCAGGCATCTTTTCAGCAATGCCCCACTCCCAGTACCAATTTACTGTATTAGTCTGTTTTCATGCTGCTGATAAAGACATACCCGAGACTGGGCAATTTACAAAAGAAAGAGGTTTAATGGGACTCACAATTCCACATGGCTGGGGAAGACTCACAATCATTGTGGAAGGCAAGGAGGAACAAGTCACATATTAATTACATGGATGGTGGCAGGCAAAGAGATAGCTTGTGTAGGACAACTCTCATTTTTTAAAACCATAAGATCTGGTGAGACCCATTTACTATCGTAAGAACGGCACAAGAAAGACCTACCTCCATAATTTAATCTCCCACTAGGTGGCTCCCACAACATGTGGGAATTATGGGAGTTACAAGATGAGATTTAGGTGGGGACACAGAGCCAAACCATATCAGGTACCAAAAAAGTAACTTTTTCCTTGGGTGCTTTCTAACTTTGTAAATTCATTTCTTCAAAACCACTTTTTTCTCTCTTTACCAATATCAACTCATTGAACTAATACCAAAAGTGAAAACAACAAAGAAACAAAAACAAGTAAACAAAAAAAAAGAAATAGATAAATTGGAACTGCTATGAATTAAATGTCTCCAAATTCAGGAGAGCTTTTAGCTTTTCTTGACAATTCTTGAAATTATTCTGCTCATTGGTTTTTTTTCCCCAATATTCTCAATACTTTCTAAAATCTTAGCACTGCACCTCCAATCTGTCTCCATTCACTCTAAATAGACTACTTTCTTACAACTTTGTAGAAAATTGAGGACATTAACAGTGATCATCTATATTGCCCCACCCACATAGAAGAGGATATCCAAAATCAAATGGGAAAAATTAAAAATTTTTCCAGAAAAAAATGGAGAAGCATCATATTTACCATCTAAAACTCTAATCCTGTCTCTCCACTTAGCCCTTCACCCCATGCCATCTGGACTCATGAGAGTTCATTTCTTTGTTCCTGCCCATCTCTCACCTATACGCTCATTACTTCCTAAGCCTACTTGAGAGCTTCCTGCCTTCACGGCCAAGGGTTACAAGCTCTATAAAAAGATTGCCCTCCAGTTTGTGAAAGGTGGCATAAAAGGCTGGATTCCCAACCTCCCTTTCAGAAATCAACTCAAATGGAAGTAAACATTTTTTCAGATAAAATAATCAAGCAAAGAGCTATCTAAAATTTATCTATTCAACAGAGCAATACAATGTTGCCAGACTGTGTGAAAGAAAACTTGACCTGAGTCTTCAATGCAGTGCCAATATTTAGGAAATGTCATATTGTAGAGGGCTTGGGGCTGCAGTGGAGGGCAGAAGGATGGAGAACATTATACCGTTTCTTGTGGAAATGACATAGTCACACGTATCTTTGCTCTATTTTAGGTCTCTATCTTGATTTTACACCATTTCCTGTGGAAATGACATAATCACATATATCCTTGTTCTATTTCTGGTCTCTATCTTGATTTACTGGTATACCTGATTATTCCTGCTCAAAACTAAGGAGAAAAATATGTTTTATTTTGTTTTCTTACAGATCTTCTTTCAACTCTTCCTGGAAAATGCACTCACCCTCACCATGTCCTTCTGTGAAATTTTTCCTTACCTTTCTCTAAATGCATTATTTGAATGCGAGTTGTTTTCTTCTTAAATATTCAGCACCTCTATAGCCCACAATGAATCACACTTACTAGTTTGAGAAGACATAGCAAAATAGTAGATGAATAATCTTAAGAAAATAAAACAGTATTGTATTCATTAAAAACCTACTAAAATAAATTCCAGATAGCATAAATTTAGCAGGAAATTGTCTCAGATTTCCAAATAAGCAGATAATTCCTTTATTGAAATTGTTATATGGCAAATAAAAATAAAGATCTGGAATATTTTTACAAAACCTCATTGTATTACATAGGGAACTATAAATAAAACCAGAAAAAGTCATAGAAGTGCTGGCATGCATTACATTAAAATAATAGCAGAATACATTCTTAAAATTATAATCATGAGGCCAGGCACAGTGACTCACGCCTGTAATCCCAGCACTTTGGGAGGCTGAGGTGGGTGGACCACAAGGTCAAGAGATTGAGACCATCCTGGCTAACATGGTGAAACCCCATCTCTACTAAAAATACAAAAACTTAGCCGGGTGTGGTGGTGGGCACCTGTAGTCCCAGCTACTCGGGAGGCTGAGGCAGGAGAATGGTGTGAACCTGGGAGGCAGAGCTTGCAGTGAGCCAAGATTGTGCCACTGCACTCCAGCCTGGGCAACAGAGTGAGACTCCATGTCAGAAAAATAAATAAATAAAAATAAAAATTATAATCATGATGCATTATGTTCAAATCAGGATAACTTTTGATGCTTCAATTTTAGGAATTATTTTATTAGAACACATCATATTAAGAGGTAAAAGGAAAAAGGCCTTCTCAACAGATGACATGCTATGATATTACACTCAATAATCTTTTCTCATAAAAATATGTGGTAAAATACAAATGCTGATAAAAAATTCAACATGGCATAACTCCCAAATTTTAAATGTAAATTCCAAGCTGAATGACTCAGAATCCCACTGGGAGTTTATGTAAATGATGAGGAAGATTGTTGTGGTAATTCTTACATTATAAGTAATACAATGTAACAAGGAGAGGGACAAGAGACACATCAGAGTATTTCCCTTCTAAAGCATTACAAGCCTCATTATATGATGCAATAGGAAGTATGCAGCATCCCCAATAATGTCTTTGCCTACAAAATTGAAAATGAATCTAAATTTACATGCGTCTCCCAGAGGAACAAGTTAAACAACAGAACTGTTTTGAATTACTTGATTTATTGATAGGAGTATATGTTGTATTTACAACCAGAGTTGTAAAAGACTCTTAGTACAGAGTCTTTAAAGGAAAATGGTAAATGCCTTCCTGATTGTGCCCATGACCTTGTAGGACCTCCCTCGTCACTGTCTCCATTCTCTCTTCTCTGCAGAAGTGGTTTGCTTTAATGTGTTTTCCCCGGTTACACTCTTGTATCAGGTTTTCCCCCTTATTCTCTTCTGTACCTTTGTATTAAAGCTTAATTTATAAAGTCTTTGCCCCTAGACCTTATATATTAAATTCCACCTGATTTTTTGCTCCAGTTTTCTGGGCCAGCTCAATCACTTCTTTCCCTAGCCCCAGCATCCTAAATCCAAGCCTACTCATATCTGAGACCCTGTCTACCGAGAAAGAGTTCAGGCACTTTTCTCACTTTAGACACCTTTTTTTTCTTTTATTTCTCCTAAAAGACAAACCCACACAAACAAGTTATTTTTTTAAAAATGTCCTCTTGAACACCTGAGTAGCAGTTGCCCTAGCCTTCTCCATCTAAGTCAGACATGGTTGCTTCTGTGCCTCCAGCCTTGCAGCCTTCCACAGGGTCACCTGCTGAAGTTGTCAGGAATGCCAGCACCTTCCAGAGATATTGCATACAGGCAAATCTGCAACTGAAATGTGATCTGCCCCCTTGTAGGGCAAACTAGAAGTGCCAGAGAGTTAACAGTCAAGACACTTCTCACTCTGGGAGGGTGGGTGTCGGTGGCAGATTTATAGCCTCTCATAATGTGCCAATTTTTGAGGCAGTTCTTCACAGACCCACAGACATAAGGCATTGCCTTTTATACAAAAGAAGTGTCAGTATTCATGACATTCTCTTCTCATTTTCTAGTCTCTCAGTCTACTGATGTCTGTCCTCTTCACCTTGTAGAACAGGATTTGATGGACTTATGCCAAGCTTCTCTCAGTGCTCCTGTTGAGCTCACCACTGTGCCCTGGCTCAAACAACACAGTCCTTATCACAGAGTAGGTAGAAATGTATTTCTAAAATTACCTCTGTCTCCATGAATCAGCAATGTTTCCTCTATGTTCTACATAACTGTCACTTATATCTCCCATCTCTCACACACACACCCATGCACACACATACAGGCATGCACATGCATACCCAAAATGCACAAACATTGATCTCACATGCTCTACCAGCCTCTTCCCTATCCCCTGCCCATTTCCTTCTCTTTTAAACTCATTATCCACATATAAATTACAGGGATCTGTCTGAATTACAAATCTGATGTCACCACACTTCTTTCAAAATCCTCTGTTCCCTGCCTAACAGCCTACAGGATGAAGTCTGTCTCCCTCATCTGCCTGTTGAAGATCTTAACACTGTCTTCCTCTCTTGCTCCCTTCTGTCCATTCTTGCTGTACATATCACTTTAGGGTTACTGAAACTTGACATGCTTCCTACTTCCTCCCACCAAGTCTTTCTGATTTGGTCCAATCTGTTTAGAATGAGCTATCTTACCTTTTATCCTTCCTTCCTTATGTTCTTCTTTCTATTACTCTAACTGGCTAAGTTCAGTTCAACCTTTTAAATTTAGCCAGTAATGGGAGGCTGAGGCGGGTGGATCACAAGGTCAGGAGATCGAGACCATCCTGGTTAACACAGTGAAACCCTGTCTCTACTAACAATACAAAAAAAAAAAAAAATTAGTCAGGTGTGGTGGCGGGCACCTGTAGTCCCAGCTACTCGGGAGGCTGAGGGGGGAGAATGGTGTGAACCCGGGAGGCGGAGCTTGCAGTAAGCAGAGACTGCACCACTGTACTCCAGCCCAGGTGACAGAGCTAGACTCCATCTCAAAAAATAAAATAAAATAAAATAAAATAAAATAAAACAAATTTAGCCAGTTAATCCAGAGTACCTTGTCTACCTCTTTAATGAAAAGTACATTACATTTCATAAGAACAATCTTTGGGAATTTATCTTTTTCACTATATTTTAAGTTTCTTGTAGACTGAGTTTCTGTTATATACTTTGTACAGCATGTGACAAATAGAGAGGCTTTTAAAATACTGCCAATAAACCAAACAAATAGCTTAATAAATGCATTAGAAATGAATTGATCATTGTAAAAAATTCCTAACATTTCTAAATCATAGCTTCCCCATATCATAAAAGGTGCTATTAACAACTACTATACATAATTTTTTTAGTGTGATGAATCTTTGGAGAACTAGAATAGTATCTGGCTCATATAAGCAGATAATATTATTAGTTTCCGTGGCAGATTGTATTTTCCAACAATGGCCACTCCAATATATATCTCATCTTTCAAGCCCTCTGTCTTAGTCTGTTTTCTATTGCTTACAACAGAACAATAGAAACTGGGTAATTTATAAGAAAAAGAATGTATTTCTTACAGTTAAGGAGGCTAGGAATTCCAAAGTTGAGCACATCTAGAGAGAGCTTTTTTTGGTAAAAATTATCTGCAGCATCTAAGACGGCACATGTCATTACATGGCAAGGGGGATGAGAGTGTTAACACGCTAACTCAGGTCTCTCTTTCTTTTCTTATAAAGCCACCAGTTCCTCTCTCATGATAACCTGTTAATTCACAGACCTGTTAATCATTAATCCATGAATGGATTGATCTATTCATGAGGGTAAAGCCCACACAATTTAAAGATCTCTTAAAGGTCACACCTCTCAATAATGCCTCGTGGACAATTAAGTCTCAACATGAGTTTTGGAGGGGATACTGAAACCATGGGACCTACTAAAACATGATGTTGACACTTGTCCATTAAGAGGTAGAATCTATGCTTGTAGGCAGGGCATATGAAATTAGGTGATAGAAAACATATGGCTTCTAGTTGTTGCCGTACCGGAGAGATCACTTGGAAAGCCTATATAAGGAAAGAGAAAGATGCCCTCAGACTTTAGCTCTTCCGGCCCCGGTAGTTTGTGTATACCAACTGAGGTTACAGATGTTGTAAATCAGGGACATCTTTCACTGATGTGGATACCTAAACACTTGACCCACAGAATCTGTGAACCTAATGAGTATTTGCTGTATGCTGCTAAGTTCTAGAGTAACTTTGCAGCCATAGTAACTGAAAGTTTCAGTGCTACCTCAAATATTCCATATGAGCAAAGGTAAGGATCAATCTTACACAAAATATATTTAAAACCCATTTATCTGTGTTCTTTATATGCCTTAATAATGTTTGACTATAACATCAGAAAGACAAATCACTAGGACAACAGAGGCAGGATAGATTTATCAACTTATTTAATATTGTTTCCTTTACGCCTGTCAATTTTAGTCAAAAAGAAGCAAACAGAATTCCCAATTGAGATTCTATGGTACACAGTTAGAACATAGAGCTCTAAAGTTCAAGACAAGTCACTGGTTTCAAACTCAAACTGGATGAGTTCATGCTTACCGTAGAGTCAAGTCACAGTAAGAAAAAAAATAAAGAAAAATATGGTGGTAGTGAAGATTGTTTCAATGTGAAAATTGTGGGAGGAGGCATAAAGTTTTCTTTGCAGAGTGACTTAGGAGTCAAATGTAATAGAAAAGAAAAAAATGGGACTGTGACTGCTTGGGAGAAAAGTAACAAAGAACTAATTAACCTGCACAATAAACACCATGTTTTGCATATAGGTGGACATGCAGATATAAAGAATTCTGTTACTAAATTTAAAATAAGCAATTTGTTTTCAATGTTATATAATCAAAAGTAATTAGCACAAAAAGTTTCTACATTTTTATCCTTAGTCTTCTCATTTTGGCTAAACGTTACTTGCAATATTTTTGAATTCTTTTAATATTTAATTGGAAGAGTGTTCTTTTCATTTTAGTTAAAAGTAGAAGCTAGGAAGGAACAGCAGAAAATTTCATTCCTTTAGTGTTATGAAAAGATATGCTATTATTATCTTCAAACCTGAGATGACATTCTGAGTTAATCCATGTCCTCATTTCATTCAACATTTCCTGACACTTAACGTATCCCAGACATGCTATGCACCAGGAATATTAAGATCACATAGAAAACTCACATTTTAATGTGGGGTAGGGGTGCAGTCAGGTAACCGTAAGGAAAAATGTGGCCAGTGTTAAAGTAAGAATTTATTCTTGCCTTTTTGCAGGAAGTATAAAATCTTCTACATGTTCATCTGTCTCTAACTGGCCTTTTATTTATTTTTTTATCTCAGGACACTTACATAAGGATGATCACAAATATATAATGGTGTCCTTTTGAACATTTATGGAGACAGCATCCATCAGCTACTACTTATTTTCCTTTAGTTTCAAACTCACTCTTTTGTGATCTATGGTGCTGTGACTGAACTCTGCAAACTACATTCCCCAGACACCTTTGCCATCTGGCTTCCAGTTAATTTTTGTCAACAGAGGGCATAGAGGACTGGAAGGCAGGCAGGAAGAAGCAACTGTACTTTCTCTTCAGCATAGCATCTGCAGGGAGAGTTTCTCTCACTAGTAGAAGTTTGTTTCAGCCAACTACACTTCACCTAGCAGAGACAGTTGGTTGTAGATGTTAGCCTTTTTAAGAGTTCCTATAAAGAGTCTCATCAACACCCTATCCCTCCCTCCCACTACTCCCAGCCAGGTACCAGCAACAGCCTTACAAAGCCCCATCAATAAAGGTTTGAGCCATATTTTACAAAAAAGGATTAGATACCTTATATAAAGTGTCTTCTGTTGAAATGCTTAATGTATTTTTTTGTTTCCCTTACCAAACCTTGGTGAAACTTGACACAAATGTATAGAAACAAACATAAAACTACAATAAAGGTGCAAGTATTTAAATGTAGCTTTTATTCTTTCTTTCCTGATTTTTTTACATGCTTCTACAGAAATTCACGAATTCATTGGTAAGGAGTGTTTTATTTCATGTGAGTGTGAATGTAATAATCAATTATATGAAATATAGAAAATAGTTACACAGAATATCTTGCCATACATCTACTCTAATTTTGAGTTTTTTGAGGTTTTGAATCTCCCACCCCATTTTTCTCTATTTATGGCAGATAAGAAAATATTATATAGTAATTACTCAGGGATAATTTCCCCTATTATCTTTTAAATTATCTTCAGTAACACCACAAGAATAACATATTAAATGCATTAAATATATATATTTTTAAAAACCTGAGTTTATACTACAGAAGGAGAATAAGATATTTGGATGCATGCTGAGATGTAAAACTGAAATATACATATAAATTAAGTTATATTAAAATTGATACGATATAAATTTTATATATTATGTGTAAAATTTGATGCCTTGAAATCTCTAGATAAAGGGAACATATTGGAGGCATTTTCTCATTTTTATAACCTTATTAATTAGAACAGATTTGGAAAAATTTGACTCAAATCATGACAATCATGATTTATAATTTCCAACTATATACCATTTTATTTCTTTTACACACTCAGTTTAATTAACTGCTATCAAGCATTTTATAATTAGAGATTCAGCTGGATCACCTTCAATAACTAGATGAGACCTATTTGAAATTAACAGCATCCATTTTCCATTTAAATGGTGCTAAAATATCGAATCGAAAATTTCCTAAGGAAATTAAAATACTTTCTCATTACCTATCTGCATCATATAATTACATATCAAACCTCTTCTCTGAGATGGTAAGAATAAATTCTTCATCTGGTTCAGTTAAATATCACCAATTACAAAATACAGTTAAGTGACTCTCTAATTTCAATCCACAAAAATCACACTGGGTTGTTTATTAAACACATACATTTTTTGGGTTATTACCCAGCTACTGAATACCAATCTATGGGAGACAGGCAGAAATATCAACATTTTTAAGTAGCATATTAGTTATTTCTTGTACCAATAATCTATAAAACACATTTATACAAATAGTAGGGTAGTTTTGATTCTTTATATCTCTATTACTACAAAAGCAAAAATTGACTGGCTAAGACTAGCTGGGATACTAAAATAGGAACACATTTCTAATAAATTATTTGTAATTCAGTATTTAAAACATTAAAAAAATTAAAAAGCAAATTAAAATTGATATATTTTATCACCCATTTTTCTCTTTAGTCTCATCTCTTTCAAAAATCATGTTTTCCAAAATAAGCTCTCTGACACTTCTGATCAAGAAAACACTATTCACAAAAATTGCTGTGGATTCTCACCTCCCTTATCCAGTCTTGGACTAAAACACAATAGGATCTTCTGTGGTTTCAAAAATCTACAATAGGCCTGGCGCGGTGGCTCTCGCCTGTAATCTCAGCACTTTGGGAGGCCGAGGCGGGTGGATAATGAGGTCAGGAGTTCAAGACCAGCCTGGCCAAGATGTTGAAACCTCTTCTCTACTAAAATTACAAAAAAATTAGCCAGGCTTGGTAGCGGGTGCCTGAAATCCCAGCTACTCGGGAGGCTGAGGCAGAGAATTGCTTGAACCCGGGAGGCGGAGGTTGCAGTGAGCCGAAATTGTGCCACTGCACTCCGGTCTGAGAGACAGAGCGAGACTCTGTCTCAAGAAAAAAAACAAACAAACTACAATATATTTAAATTTGTCCCCTAAATAAGATTCTATCTTAGAAATGGAATCTGAATTCATGTGAACTACTGAAAAAAATTCTGATTATATAATCCGTGGCTTCCAGAGTTCTAGCCTAAGGCACTACATTTATTAATGTTCTAATTCATTTGTGTGTTTGCTGAGGAGTAGGGTAGGTTTATCAGGGAGACACAGAACTCACAGAGCTGAAGTTTTCCTCCAAATTCCAGTTCTCTTACTGTGTGGTGGTCATTCTTAA
The DNA here is from genome assembly GCF_000001405.40 of Homo sapiens. Taxonomy (NCBI): domain Eukaryota; kingdom Metazoa; phylum Chordata; class Mammalia; order Primates; family Hominidae; genus Homo; species Homo sapiens. The sequence continues at coordinate 51,988,458 of NC_000002.12, read as the reverse complement.
ATTCAGAGTATGTTGTTGATGATTGCCTGTCTGATCCTGCCTCTCACCTAGCTCCCTATTACTGCTTTGAATAATGTTAAAAATCTTTCTGATGTCATAATACTCTTTTTTGGACCTCTATTAACATACATACACACATTTTTAGCTGCAAGGATACCAGATCTTCCTTCCCAAACTCACTCATGTTGAAAAATAAGAGACTTTCTCACAACTAGAAAGCCAGAAAGGATTGGAATTTTACTCTTATTGTGACATATCTGATGTAGTTTAGCTCTGTGTCCCACCCAAATCTCATCCAAATTGTAATTCCCATGTGTCAAGGGAAGGACCAGTAATCCCCATGTGTTGAGGGAGGGAGGTGATTGGATCATGGGTGTGGTTTTCCCCATACTGTTCTCCTGAGAGTAAGTTCTCAGGAGATCTCATGGTTTTATAAATGTTTGGAAGTTCCTCTTTTGCTCTTCTCTCTCCTGTCACCTTGTGAAAAAGCTGACTGCTTCCTCTTCCATTACGATTGTATGTTTCCTGAGGCATCCCCAGCCATGTGAACCTGTGAGTCAATTAAACCTCTTTTCTTTATAAATTACCCAGTCTCAGGTATCTCTTTATAGCAGTGTGAAAACAGACTAATACAACATCCCTCAGGTTATATAAAGGTATTATCAGTATCTCATCATAGACATTAAAATAGATGAAAAAGTAAATTTTTGTACAAAAGCAGTCATTGAAAGCCAATAGCCAGAAACATCTAGAGTGACATAGTGCAGAAGCAAGAAAGATTGCACAGCTCCACAGGACCTCCATGTCTCACTATGCAGCATGCAACAAAACTGCTGCTGTGATAATAGGTAAGATAAACCTGTTCCTTCATCAAATAAACACAATTGGTTGCTTCTGTGGTTCAAGATGTCAGACAACTCTTCTTTTCACTTCATAAAGATGTTTATTACCAATGACATTGGCTGATTAGAAGGCTAAGCCTCAGTTACTTGACAAATCTTAAGTGGAATGCAGTATTTTTGAGTAATATTGGATAAATGAAGTATTATTGTCAATTAAGCAATAGTTGTAGCTTATTTAATAGCATTTTCAGTGAATTCTCAAATTATTACTGAGGAAAATGTGACAGTGCTTCAAAGCAGTAGTAATTTTTTCTCATTATGCTGCATTTATTATTAAAACCAACAGTGGACAGTGAATGACTAACTGATCCTTTTTTGGGAATATTACTTCCAAATGAACGTTAACTTAAAGATTGGAATATGAACACACTATTGCTTTTACACTAGAGAGGTTACTCCTGGCCACTCTTTCAGCAGCAGTTAGCTTCAGGAATTCATGTCAGTGATATTAATCATCATTGGAGACATCTTCCCTTTTCTTCAGGATTTCCTGTAGCAGGTGAGAGTGCTAGACTGAAATCTGAAGACAGGCAAAATAGCCTCAAATAGTGTCTCCTGGGGCTCCTAAGTGCTAAGAAGTCTCATTGGACATTGATAGTGCCAAAACAGACATATTTGGGGGGATCATCAAGTCAAAATTTTATATATTTTTATGTGTTTTTTGGAGATAGATTAAATATTTTACTAATTCGGTAGCAACTATGGAAAACAGGTCTTGCTCTGTTAACACCCACTGAGTACTAGTTGCTACTTTAATAATGCTTTTCATGAATGCTCAAATTATTAGTGAGGGAAATATGATAGTGCTTCAACACAGTACTAAAGGTATACCCTACTATACATAGGATATACATTTAGTAAAGAGATGTATAATCATTTTATAATAATATGCTCTAAGTATACTATTATACTTCATTACACTAAAGAGATGAATAATCATTTTATAATAATATAGCCTGGCCAACATTTGTGAAGAGGCCTGTAACATTATTTCAGATTATTATCTTAAAAAAAAAGATTTCAAAAATGATTTTTTGTTCTGAAAAAACAAAAGCTGCTGTTCTTGGGCAGCGAAGCAGGGGAATCATGGTTATCTCCAGACAAATGTAGACAAGGATTCTTACACATATTTTTAAAAAAATAAGATTTGGAAGTCTTTCCTGATCTATTTATAAGAGAAAATGGCAGACAAATGATGGGGAACTGAGGGGAATGCACAAGAGAAAAACCTGTGTTTGAAAGTCTGAGTTTGTCCCTATTCCAAATAAATGCATTGCCAAGAACCTTTAAGGATAATTTGCATCCGCTGCAAAAGAAATGTGATTATAGCTTGTATAATGATGGTTTTGATCACAGGTCCATTGGTCTAAAAATGTGCACTTTTACAAGGGGTCATATTTTCAGGTCTTTCACATGAAATTTGCATAATTATATGCATATAAGTAGCTTTTCTTGTCAAGTAGCCTAAAAATATTGGTACATGTCCAAAGAATCTCAATACTGTGGCAACATTAACAGTTCTTTGTCTTTGCCCTTTCCAAAAATAGAGCCATTATTTTTAAAGTTTATATTACCTTTAAACTTTCCTTTGGTTATTTTGGGAAAATGTTGAGCAAATCCAACTGGCACTAGAGAACATGTATATTAGATAACCATGTTTTTTATTCGAATTTTAAAAATGTTCACATTTTAACCCTCTATAGTTAAGTAGCATCTTTTCCTTGTCTTTCCTTTTGCCTTCTTCTCTACTTCCTTCTTCATTTTGTCTTTCTTTTCTTTCTTATACAATCCCTCTATTCTTTCTTACTTATATATTTCCCATCTGCATTCTCATGGGATTTTGGAGACTTTAAATAATCCACTGAATATAATATAAAAATCATTCATTGAGTTTATAAAAGGTAGAACAGAAAATTACATTTTACTTTAGAAAAATGAATTTGGGTCATAATATACAATACCACTATTATATTTGGAAAAAATGGTTCCAATACTCCTAATGGTTACAATGAAAATATATATAGTACTGTCTAGAAACATTTTTTCTTTAAATTTATGCAAAACTTTTCAATGAACAAATCTTTACTGAGTAGCTAATATGACCATGCCCCATGTTAGATGATTACTACATGGTGGGAAACAAGATACGTATACATACATACATTACATGCTCTCATGCAGCCTACAGTCTAGAAAGACCGGTTGACAATATATAAGTAAAGACACAAATAAAGTTTTATTTATTGTATGATGTGGTCTGAAGGAAATAAGCAGCATGGCATAAAAGAAAGGAAAAATTCAGAGTTTTTTTCTCTAAAGATGGAACATAAGCTGAAAATGGAAGGCTGAGACAGAGAAACCTCTGTAAACAGTAGCAGGGTTTATATTTCAAACAAAGCAACATACTTGAAGAAGGGAAAACCTGAGAATAGCACGTGAACTGAGAAAAAGCCAGTGTGACTGAAGTGTACTGAACAAGGTAGGCTGTGAGATGAGATGAGATTGCAGAGAAAGGCAAAGGCAGCTTATGCCGTGCATCATAGGTCTGTAAGAAGTTTTAATTTTATTGTAAGTGATAAGTAAGATAGTAGATGACATTAATTTCATTTATGTGTTTTAAATATTAATTTGGCCACTTTCTGGGGAATGAAATGAAACAGAGCAAGAGTAGAAGCAGAAAAACTGATTATGAATCTATTGTTTCAATAGCTTGTTTGTACTTTGCTTGTAGCAGTGAAAGGGTGAAAACTAAAGGGATTTGGGATATATTTTATAATGATATAAAAATAAATTTGTTGATAGTCTGATTATGAGGCACCAGGAAATGGTGAAAGTCAGGATGGGGCTTGATTACTAAAGTATATGGTGTTGCTTTTGCTTAGATGGAAGTGCATGGGATAAATTAATACAGTGATAGAAAAGAGGGATGGTGAGGAAAAGGGTGAGAAGAGAATAAAGAATTAAGTTGTGTAACTGTTAATTTTGAGAATGTTATATCCATGTCAAGAATATTAAGGAGATAACTTGATATTTGGATTTGAAGCTAGGAGGGGTCTATGTCAGAGATTCTAATTTGAAATGACCAAAGGTGAAATACATGATGAGAAGAGGGCCTTGTACTGAGTCCTTAAGCACTTCAGCACTTAGACGGTGAATATGGATCTTTGGAAGACAATTGTAAAGATCAGCCAACAGGTGGGGAAAAATCAGGATTCTACAGTGTCATGGAAACAAAGACAGAGAATGTTTCAAGACATAAGGGGCAACTGACAGTTGAATACAGATGAGAGTTTGAGTCCATTGGAATTGTCCCTAAACATTTGGGTTTTGGTAACACTGATAAGTGGAATTTCATTGAAGTGTAGCCAAATGGCAGTAGATTAAAATGTGAATAAGAGAAAAAAGTGGAGTGAAAAGTGTATGAATACACATCTTTTGAGAAGTTTGACTATAAAGAATAGCAGATAAATAGAATGTGACAGCTTAAAAAAGTTCTCTCTTCCTCTTTCCAAAAGATATTTGAAAGACTAAATTTTAGGTATGTAAGTAAAGTGATATCCAGAGTACATTTTCTTAAGATAGTAACATAATTTTATTATTGCGCAGCTACAGCTAACTTATTTTATTTTTACTGACATATTTATATGCAATAAACATAACCTACATTTGAAATGTAGATAATGTAGAAAACATTCTAGAATCAGGCTTAAATTTTTGTAATTATATAAAATCATCTAGCCACCAACATAATGAAAATATCAAATAGTTTTATCACCCTAAGAAGTTGACTTATGCTTTGTTGCAATCAATCCCTTCTCCAGTATTCAACTACAGACAATCACTAATCTGTTTCTGTCACTGTAGTTTGTCTTGAAAGTCACATAATGGAACCATGTAGCATGTGTAACTTGTGTTTGACTTCTTTCACTTGGCATAATATTTTTGAGTACCATCCATGCTGTTGCATGTATTAATCCTCTCCTCTCCTCTCCTCTCCTCTCTTCTTTTTTGAGATGGAGTCTTGCTCCATTGCCCAGGCTGGAGTGCAAGGGTGCGATCTTGGCTCACTGCAACCTCCGCCTCCCGGGTTCAAGCGATTCTCCTGCCTCAGCCTCCCAAGCAGCTGGGATTACAGGTGCCTGCCACCATGCTTGGCTAATTTTTGTATTTTTTAGTAGAGAAGAGGTTACTCATGTTGGTCAGGCTGGTCTTGAACCCCTGACCTCAGGTGAACCACCTGCCTTGGCCTCCCAAAGTCCTGGGATTACAGGCATGAGCCACCACGCCTGGACCAATATTTTGTTATTTTTCTATTGCTAGTTACCATAGCATTGTATGAGTATCTCAAAATTTGTTTATTCACTAGATGATGTATATTGGGTTGTTTTAGCTAGTATAAATCATTAACATTCAGTGTACAAGTCTTTCTGTATGCCTTTGTGTTTATTTTTCATGAGTTGGTACTCAAAAATGAAATTTCTGAGTTGTATGGTAAGTGCATATAAAAGCTCACGAGATAGTGCCATAATGTTTTCCACAGTGGCTGTTCAATTTTTCATTTATTCTAGCAATGTCTCTGAAGTTAGAGTTGCTCCACATCCTAACCAGAACTTCGTATGTGGTCTGTCATTTTTTGTTTTAGCTTTTCTTATATGTGTGTAGTGATAATGATTTGCATTTCTTTTACTAGTGAATATTCTTTTGAGAAGTATCAGGTCACATTTTTGCCTATGTGTAACTTTTAAAAATTTTTTATGTTGTCTTATTTTTGATTTACTACAAGGAACCAAGGGGTTCTTGGATAAATGGCTGATTCCACGGCTGGAAAAAGGAAAATATAAGATGGGCCTGAAGCAAATAAAGATGTGCTTTAAAAAACAGAAAGATAAGATAGGGGAATGTTAAAGGCATATAAGAATCAATTTGGAAGAACTCACAACGGCTAGTCTGGAAAAATTTGAACAAACAAAATTAACAGGACAGTCATAGATTATAACCCAATGTACATAAGAAAAAAATATAAGTTCACAATGATACAAACAATTGAATAAAAAAATTGGAGAAGTAGTAAAGATTATTTGCAGAAATATTTCAGCTACTATGTGTAGATAGTCCCTCAACCAATAATTGAGAAATCGAAAGTCTACATCCAAGCATCATTTTCATTAGTTTATTTAACAAACATATATCGAATAAATGTCTTATATTGTGTACCAAGAAAACAAAGATTAAAAAGGTATAGTCCTTGACTTCATCAGGGAGATGCTTGTTTTTTTTTTTATAGATTTTATTTCATATGTGTTGTTCGTCTTTATGCCTTCTATTATACATAAAGTAACTAAAGGCTAGGAAAAAATTTCAGTCATTTTTATATGCTATATAAAATTTTAGTGTAAAGTTGTGCATGTTTCCTCAACAAGTATTTGATTATTTTTCACATAAAAATGAGGAATAAACAGAAAACAAGATGATTTATCTCACAACTCTCATCTTATTTTTTATATGATTTAAGAAGTAACATATGAATGCTGAGTCATGGCAGAGTCCTAACATATGCTGTCTTGAATGGGATTTCTGCCAAGCAATGCGATACAAAACTATTCTTATTTAACATTTCCAGCAAGATTTTGAAATATAAAATTTATTACATATCAGCACTCTATAATGACCATAACATTGTAAACATCGATTTATTGCTCTTTAAAAACTTTTCATAAACATGATGTTTCACTGGCATTTGCTCATCACTTTTATCATATACTCAGAAATGACAGAGTCAGATCCAAGACTAGATGTATAATATTCTATTATCTTTAGTTAAAATGTTCTACATTTGACTGAATGCTGGAGCTAAATTTTAATCTTCAATTAGTTTTAACAACTGTAACACATTTGAGGGAGTATTTCACTAAATCTATTATTGATCTCTTCTTGGGAGTTGCTGTTATGACATTTTAAAGGTTGATTTTCTATTTTTGTCTTTATGCTTAAAATTGATGTGTAAATAATATAATAATCTCTAAAATTCGTCTTTAAAAAGAAAAGATTTCCTAAGATTTTCTATTAGTACATTTCTGTGTTTAAATTCACTATATTCGGCCAATTATGTAAGTAAACCATCCTGTTGTATTTATATTTTTTATTTCTCATTGCAATTATATTGTTTTAATTCAATATACCAATATTTGTTTTTCCTCTTTTAGGATGGGCGCAGCACCAACTTAGTTTAAAATCTAAATTAATGAAAGACCATACAAATCTATTTATCTTAAGCTAGTATAAACTGTATCTCTGATAAGTAGATGACAGCAGAGTATTTCACTTGTGTGTGTGTATGTTACGTGCATGTGTGTGTATTTTTCATATTCTTTAAGAATGTTTCTCATTATGCCTTTTTTAAGACTGTTTTCAGTGTGGAGTTGTAGCTGCAGACAGAAAGCAAAAGCATTTTTATTTACCTACTGTTTATCCACTTTTAAGAGTACCTCTTTCACTAAGATTTTAAAAAACTTGTTTCTTTTCTTAAAAGACTAAATGTTGCAAGCTTTAAAATTATATTTATTTCAGGAGTGATTGAAAAGCCTTATATATATTTGATTTTGTTGCCTTAAATTGAAGAATAACCTGCTAACAATTTTGCACTTATATTCTATCAAAAAAATGAGCTGTGATATTGTTTCTAGCATTTGTGTTCTTGCACTCTTATGCCTATAACACTTGGCAACATCTACTTCTTTTTGCATTTTCATCTAATATAAGCAGCATCACCTCTCAGAGAAAGGGAAGAGATTTCATATATTCTGACAGTTTAAAGTTTAAACAAAATTTGACTTCTGAGATTTTAGTTGAGCTTTCTAAAAGCCTGAGTTAACTTGGCTAATTTACATTCTTTGTCAACAACTGAAAAGCTTTTTCTGTTAAGTAGATACATGGCAGAGCATTTTACTTGTTGGCTGTTAGAATAAATATAAATAAATTATTTCTCAAATCACTATTGTAAATACGAGCTTTAAGAGTGTTTTTGCATTTCTCATACATGCAGTTCTTCATTTTTTTTATAAGAGCTTGTTCTAACATTATTCATATAATTATTCAATAATTCACATAATTTCATCATTTTTCTTTTATCTGCCCTAATTTTGAATTCTGCCTGCTACTATGAACATTTAAAAGAATTTGGCTACAGGAATAATAGCACTTCTAGAACATACTTAAAAAAAATAAGGTCCCTTATATAGTTTGGAGATGGATTAGTGGAGCAAAAGTACAGTATGACTATTGGTTACTAGAAGACACCTTATTTTCCACCAGATTTAGTTACTCCTGAGTATGCAAATTCTTTTCCAAAACTTATTTCTCAGCCCCTCTTGTATCTTAGTTTCATCCTCAGTGGAAATAGGCAAGCAACTTCCATCTTACTTGTGTCACTCATCCAAGAAACAACACAATTTGTTCATGGTAACAAACTGTCTGGATATCTCATGATTCATTTATTTCTGATCATATCTCAAAAGAGCTATGGATCAGCTAAAGATGACCACCTTTTGTCTTCTCATTATAGGAACCAAGTCTAGAGGAGCTGACACTATCTGGGACATGCAATTCTCAAGTGGATGGATGGAATATGAGGTAAGGAATGAATGCAAGCTGAGGCTACATTACATTGACCAAAGAAAGGCACAGGGCTAAATCTAAAGTAAAAGTGGCTGAAGAATACACAACACCTACAGGGAAACATGGAAAGATATAAGAGACAAGAGGTAACAAATAATCATCATTAAATAAGAAAATCTACCACACTTGCTTAAGCAGAAATTTTTTACTTTATCTTTCTTACTTCCTTGTTGTCAGTGTTTGAATGTGAATATTGCAGCAATCAAGCTTTTGCTATGCAGAGAAGGAATATGAAAAGGAATTAAAGATCAGGTATGAGACAACAAAAAATGAAAAGGAACTGGATAACTGAGTAAACTTTTGGATTAGAGCTCTCTGCAAACTGAAATGGCCAAACTTTTAGATGAAATAGAAAACAACAAATTAAATAATTCTTGTAATATATTTGTAATCAAATTAAACTTCCAAATTTTAACACAGTTGTAGATTCACACGCAGTTATAAACAATTATACGGTAAGATTCTGCTTATAATATCACAATCACGATATTAATATTGACACAGTCAATATACAAAACATTCTATCACCAGGAGCATTCTGACTGTTGACCTATTATAGCCACACTGAACTTATTTTCACCATACCACGTACCCCTCAACCCTTAATTCCCAGTACTTAACTCCAGGAAATCACTTAATCCATTCTCTATTTCTATGATTTGTAACTTCAAGAATGTTATGTAAACGCAATAATACATTATGTAGCCTTTTTGGATTTGTTTTTTCACTCAGCATTATTGTTTAGAAACTCACCTACATTGGTACAAATATCAATAGTTTGCTTCTTTTCTTTGTTGCATAGTGTTCCACTATATAGATGTACCTAAGTTATTTTCCTTTGTTTATTTGCTTGCTTGTTTTTGACCATTTATCCTTTGAAGGACATCTGAGTTGTTTCCATTTGGGGAGTATTATGAATAAAACTTCCATAAATTTCCATGTATAAGTTCTTGTGTGATCGTAACTTTTTGTCTACGATAAATGCCCAGTGGTGTAATTGCTTGGTTGCATGTTAGCTGCATGTTTAGTGTTTTTTGTTTTTGTTTTTGTTTTCACATTGGAAAACTATTTTTCAAAATAGCTGCAATGCTATATTCCCACTAGCAAATTATGACTGATCTATTATAGTTTCTTCATATATTTGCAAGAATTTGGCATTGTGACTTTTAAAAAAGTTTAGCCTTTACAATAGATATGTAGTAATTTCTTGTGGTTTTAATTTTAATTTCTCTTTTGGCTAATGGCGTTGAATATCTTTTCATGTATTAATTTGCTCCTTATACAAATCTGTGTATCCACTTCTGTGAAATATCTGTGTAAGTCTTTTGGAAGTTTTCTTATTGAATTTTTTTGTTGTTGTTTTGTTTCGTGTTACTGTTGAGTTTTGAGAATCCTTTAGGTATTCTAGGTAAAAGTCCTCTGTTGGATATGTGGTTTGCAAATATTTGGCTCAATCTATAGTTTGTCTTTTTATCTCTTAACCAGGTAGTTGGTGAGCTAAAGTTTTAAATTTTGATGAACTTCAATTTATCAATGTTTCCTGTCATGCTTTTGGTATAAATTCTAACTTCTTATTTATCCCAAACTCTGAAGATTTTCTCCTATATAATTTCTAAATTTTTCATGAATTTATATCTTATATTCAAGTCATTGTCTTAGTTCATTTTGTGTTGCTGTAACAAAATAACTGAAATTGGGCAATTTACAAACAATAGAGGTTTACTTGGCTCAAAGTTCCTCCCATTGGGAGCTACCTCCTAACACTGTTGCACTGGGGAGTAAGTTCCAACACATGAACTTTGGAGGACACATTTAAACCTCAGCAGTCATTGATCCATTTTAAGTTATTTTTTGTATAACACATAACACTTAATATAAGTTTTAAATTTAAAAAGTTTAAGTTTTCTACCTATTGATGGTGAATTGCTCTAGTACTGTTTTGTTGAAAATGCTATTCTTCCACTCCTGTATTGCTTTTGAACCTTTGTCAAAAATATGTTGGGCATATTTCTGTGATAAATTTTTTTGGGCTGATTTCCACAATGCCTATTTTATTCCAATAGATCTATGTGTCTGTCCCTCTTGCACTACCACAGCCTTGATTACTGTAGTATATGATAAAGCTTGAAATTGGTTACACTGGTTTCTCTGACTTTCTTCTTCTCTTTTACAATTATTTGAGCTATTTTAGCCTCTTTGCCTTTCTATATACATTTTAGAATAATCTATTTCTGCTTACTGGGAATGTGATGAAAATTATGTTAAAACTTTATATTTATTTGAGGACCACTGACATTTTTACTGCGTTGAATCTCCCAATCTATAACCACAACATAAGCACAGTTTTTAACATTTTTGTCCACTCATTCAAGTTTGGATCATTAGAAAAATTTATGAATTTCCTATCATATTTTCAGATATTGTTATGGATTTTTATATTTGTTACCTCATATATTCCCTATAAATACTTTTAAATTATTTATTAGTTCTTCTAATTTGCAGATGAGAAAAATTAAGACTAAATGATATCAGTTAACTTGCTCAAGTCATACAGGTGGTAAGAAGCAGAAAAAAAAATTCAAATGAGGCCTTTTGAATTCCAAATTTCATCCTTTCTCTTCTATGTATCGAAATCTCCCTTGGATAAAACTGGAACTTCTTTTAACATACCCAGAATGTACGACAGTTATTCTCACTTTTTCTTATTGCCTCTAGCATTCTTTTCCCCTAATATGGAATCATTCTACTTCTCTATCTAGGTGAAACCTAGCAATACATTACTATTGCTTAGAAAGTTTCACCACTCATATTAATCTTTTCATCTACCTTACCCTAGTCATACCGCCACTTTTCTGTAATCCAATTTTGCCTCTAATAAATCATGCAATTTAGAAGTAGTCTCATTTCTATATTTTTCCTCCAAATAGATGCTGAGAATATTGAAGACATGAGCAATTTCCTAATTTTCCTTTTGTGTCTAACCTATTTCACTTGGCACCAGCAACTGATTGTTAAAATGATAAAGTCTCAGCACCAAGAATGTTGGTAATAATCCCCATTTCGTCACTCATTTGTGTTCATCATATTTTTTCCCATCATGTGAGCATAATTTCCTCTGATAGGTGTGTTCGTGAATTCATTTCATGTACCTCTTTTGTGTCAACAAGCATAATAAAAAGCTAACCAAAATTTGAGAAATGTTAGATTGTTTTAAGATAATTAAAGAGAACTAGAGTAAGATATCTGGTATGTGGCAAAACATTAAATTCCTCAGACTCTTGAGAATCTATGTATCATCATAATTTTTGTCATTATTCTCAGTAATGATAGTTGTATATGTCATTGTATGGAACACTGCTTGTTATCACTACTGGTTATTGTCTGTGTTGATTGTGTCAATTTCATACACTCCTTAATGACAAGTGCACGAGAGAATTTTTATTGATTTTTCAATAAAGCACACACATCTATGTTTAAAATTCCATTACTTATGGGTTAAAAATTATGCCTTAGCCATTTTTGAAACCATATCACATATATTTTAATTTTTTAAACCATCTTTTATAAAAACATGACTTCTTCCCTGAAGTTAGTATTTTTAATGTAGAAGGAGTGAAAGACCATTTTGGTATATTTTTCACATTTCTAAAGCATGTGCCTTACTCTTCTATTAATGTGCTGAATATTTGACATCTTTATACACATTTTTTTTTGTTTCGAACATACTAAGTAAAAGACCAATACCCATACTGAAATAAAATTTTCAAACTAAATTTTATGGCGACTTAGTGCCACAAAATATGTCTGTTAATGTGTATGACCTTGTTGGAGAGAACTGCAAGGAGTAGCAGGCTGCTAATTAACTATTTCCAAAACGATGTATCACCTCCATGTGGCTTTCTATGAAAGTTTTCAGCAAAGGAGAAAGTTAATGACATTCTGACTAGGCATCAGTACTGGCATAGATCAAAAATACCATTTAGCATTCACAAACCACAATGGCATCAAAGGATTATCTGAAATATCACAAAGACTTTAGATTTGGGGGCCTCAAAAAATCAATTTGACCATGTGTTTTACTGACCCCCAAGGAACAGGATCAGACAGTAGCAGAGAAACAGGAAATTATCATTTACTTTGTAAGTATTACCTCCTAGGCTCTCAAGGGAAGAGCAAATGCCAAATGAACATCATGGCAGTTCTTTAATATAAAAGTGGGAGTAGGAATTAGAAAAGCTGAGAAAACTAGTAAAATCAAGATTACCTTCATCCTAAGTGCAAATTAGACTTTACCTTTTTGGGAGGTTATTTATGGCAAAGTTTTATAGGTTCTTTTGAGATAGCCAAGAGTCAAATAGAAATAAGGAATCATTTGTAAGAGACATATACTCAGTAGTATATAAATTATAAAAAATAAGAAAAAGAAATATACACTTATTTAAAAATACTAATACCTATCTTTTATTATTCTCTAGGACATTAGAGTATACCAAAATGATATAGAAGGAAGGTGATGAGATAAAAATATTAAAGAGAATAAAATGAAAAATAAGGAATGCAATTAAAAGAGGGGATTAAAGAATGGGAAGGAGAGATGACTACATAAGAATGAAAAGGAGGAGAATGAAAAGGACAATTAGAGAAGATAAATGAAGGTTTGATTATGATGAACCAGTTGTAAACCCTTTGGTTAATTCTCCATTTCCTTAGATATGGGTCACAGTGTATAGTGCCTCTTAGCTCCTTGAAAATCTGATTAACTCATCAACCACTTTTCACAGTTCTGCATCTGTTATTTATCTTTAAACACTTTTGCAGGTCCCACATTGAAGAGTAAAGCTATAACAACTCACCCTTACTCTCCATAACTTGGAGTTTATTAGATTTTCAAAGTTCTGACATTTAACATTAAATAATGGTTATTCCTCTAGAATTTTTTTCACAATCTTTCATGAAAAAGGGCTGCATAATTTTCTGTAAGCCTGTTTTTATCTTCATAAATTCTGAGAGTAAAAGAATATTGATAAAAAGACATAGGACAGTTTGTAAAACAAATATGGAAAAAGAACATCTATCTCAGTTGTAGTTTAAAAAATAAATATAATTAATTCCTGTGGGCTTTCATACTAGGGCCATAAAAATATCCAACTATTATTGAGTACTTATTTATACGCTTGACATGATTCTAAGTGCTTTACATATATTAGCTCATCTAATCTACTACAAGCTTATGAGGTAGGTATTGCTTTTGTCATCACTTTATAAAGTAGTACACTAAGACATAAAGAAGGTTTAATAACTTAGCCCAAGCCACACCTAATAAAAAGCAACACTAGACTGAACTATGACTGCCAGTTTTCAGATGCATTGTCCTTGATCATAGAAAATCATTATCATACATTTATCACCATAATCAAACAATCAGCATTTTGTTATTCTGTCTGAATTGTTTTTTGGTTCTATATCCAGTCATTTTCTTCAGGTTCACGAGTTAACTGTGAAACCTTATTATTTGTGAAAATGCCAATATAGTGAAAATAGAACTTCGCTAAAGTTGTTGAGACAAAGGTAGCCACAAAACAAACAAAATATGTACACTGTATACACAATATTAGTGTTTGATAATGATATTTTGCCATAAAATCCAGAGATGATTTAATTTCAAAATATAAGAAAAGAGCACATCTGTCTGAGACCTTTAGCGCATAATTAGATTCTCAGCTGTTCTGCTTTGATAAAAGTAACCAGAGCTCTTTTGTATTGAAAAGGGCATTGAGCATAAAGTTAGAAACTCTCACTTTTATTCCCAGGCGTACCAGTATGAACTTGGGCTTATCAAGTAAATCCTTGTCCCTCTGTTCATCTCTAATTTGAGGATAATCCAGTATAGTAGCATCTATCCACACTACTGCTCTGTGTTCTTGTACCAAAATTGTAACATAAAAAATGATCCTTTGAAAGGCAGCAGTTGTCTCTTTAAAAAATAATAATAAATCAAACTCTAAATTGAACCTCAGAATGCACAGTGATATGGTTTGGATTTGTGTCCCCGCTCAAATCTCATGTTGAATTGTAATCCCCAATGTTGGAGGAGAGTCCTAGTAGGAGGTGATTACATCACGGAGGGCAAATTTGCTCCTTGCTGTTCTCATAATAGTGAGTGGATTCTCATGAGATCTGGTTGTTTAAAAGTGTGCAGCACCTCCCCTTGGCTCTCTTCCTTCTGCTCTGGCCATGTAAGATGTGCCTGCTTCCCCTTCTGCCATGATCAAAAGTTTTCTGAAACCTCCCCAGCCATTCTTCCTGTACAGCCTACAGAACGGTGAGCCAATTAAACGTATTTTCTTTACAAATTACCCAGTTTCAGGTACTTCTTTGTAGTAGTGTGAGAACAGACTAATACACACAGTAATAGAAAAAATGTATTCTAGAACCAGAGTAACTTGTTTTTAATTCTATCAAAGTGGTAAAATCCATATTTTGTCTTGGTTGGGACCAATTCATTTAAATACCCTAAATCACTCTGATCATGTCATTTAAGAAGGAGCATCTTTATGGAATGGGATGTTATCAATCGTTTTTGGCATCTTCTCGGTAAAAAAGAAAGTTATGTGTTCACAGAGGATCACAAGTGGCTTTCAGAAGTTGAGGAATAAAGCTAACATATATGAAAATGAATGATTATAGTCACCTTTGTGATAATGTGAAGTGTTCATACACATCTCATCACTGAACATAGCATATGTGGCTAATTGGATGCATGTTCATTTTTAGCTTTCCTATCATCTCTACCTCAGTGCCAAGCCACAGTAGGTGCTTCATAAGTACCCACTGCCATTAATGATGACTTCTATCCTTAAGTCAGACTTTTTACATGATTTCACTTTCACAAATAATTTTCTATGTTTTAATAGTATGTAAAATGTCTCCTACTTCAGTGATTTTAAAACTGATTGTGAAGCCCACTCACCTGACCTGTGGAGTTTAAACTTAACAACTCATTCATACAGATTGCATTATTGGGCTTTTGTTGACAGAAGATTAGGAGAGTTTTTATGCTTGGTGAACTACATTTTGAATGCATTTAATTACAAGAAAATGAGTTTTAGTTTATCCCAGTGCTAAGGATGCTTGGGAAACCAGGAAAACTGATAGAAGGAGAGGAGGGAAAATGCAAACTCTGTCACACAGTAGCACCTTGGGAAATCAAGGTGAGCCAAAATTAGAAATTGCACAGAGTTTGTGCAAGTACCATGGGTTGGTAACCCTTGATTTGAGAGGCTGCTTTCAAAGTAAATTAGTGAAAATAAAATTTTCGTAAGGACTTCTAAAATCAGAGAGGAAGGATAGAAATCATAAACATATGTCATCCCTCTTTCTCTTTTCTGTAATAATTTAGAGAATTCCCTTCTGTTAGAAGTCTATTAGTATTTTTTAATATCTTGGCAACCTGTCAGATTTTGCAATGTATAGTGGTTGAGATGGTGGGAGAAAAGAGGCCCAAATAAGTAAAATAACATACAAGAAGGAGTGCTGAATTATAGATATGGAGAAAGAAATGTGGAGATACGGCCGGGCGCGGTGGCTCACGCCTGTAATCCCAGCACTTTGGGAGGCCGAGGCGGGCGGATCATGAGGTCAGGAGATCGAGACCATCCTGGCTAACAAGGTGAAACCCCGTCTCTACTAAAAATACAAAAAATTAGCCGGGCGCGGTGGCGGGCGCCTGTAGTCCCAGCTACTCGGGAGGCTGAGGCAGGAGAATGGCGTGAACCCGGGGAAGCGGAGCTTGCAGTGAGCCGAGATTGCGCCACTGCAGTCCGCAGTCTGGCCTGGGCAACAGAGCGAGACTCCGTCTCAAAAAAAAAAAAAAAAAAAAAAAAAAGAAATGTGGAGATACAAAGGACAGGGAAAGATTAATTCCTGCTGGGAAGATCAGAGATGTATTCATGACGAGGATATTTGAGCAGGGCACGGAAGGTTTGATGGAAATTTTGAGACCGAGATAGATGTGTATCAGCTTTGCATGAGACAAGTACAGATCTAGAACAGGATAGGCATAAATTAAATTGGCAGATTAACTGGAATAAAAGCTTAAATTTTTGTCTCATCCTTTCTTTACATCATTTATCAAGTTACATTTCAGCTTCTTAATCAAGAGACGGACTCTGTGCATATGCACCTTGAAGTTGATTTGGATATGCAACTTGCTTTGGCAGATTGTTAGCATATGTCACGTAGCTAACGCATGCAGAGCTTAATACCTAAGTGACGGGTTGATAGGTGCAGTAAACCACTATGGCACACATTTACCTATGTAAAAGACCTGCACGTACCGCACGTGTATCCCAGAAGTTAAAAAATAAAATAAAATATGTTTTTTTAGAAAAGGACTTGCTTTTATGCCTTGAGAATATGATTGGGCCAGCCTGCTGGGGGATGAGAGACACATGGAGTCACCCCAGACATCTTAAGCAAGGCATGTCTGGATCAACCAATAGCCCAGTCAGTCCTCAGATATATAACTAAGTCTAGCCAACATTAACAGAGCTGCCTTGCCAATTGCCCCATTTGCATGAGCAATACGTACTTCTAGCTGTCTGAGAGTTAGATTTGTGGTTGTTTATCCCACCAGATGTTTATAGCCATTCACAGAATCCATTTCCAGACATGAGAACATAGAAAGAAAAGAAAGATTATGTTTCTTCTATCACTTTTTCAGGAGCTAGAAAACTCTCTCCATAAACTCCCTCTTCTGGAATAATTCAACTCATGATTCATTGACCAGTCCTGCATCATATGCCCATTCTCTAAAAAATCGATGGCAAAATGCAAAGAGCTTAGTCTAATTATCTGGGGCAAAATGGATGTAGAAGAGTCAATCGCCATGACTTTCAATCATACTTAATATAACACGATAAGTGAATATTTACTAGTGCAATAATGATTTTTGTTTTAATTTTTAAACAAATTATTGAGGTATAATTTAGAGAAAATAAAATGCACCTGCTTCAATTTGATGACTTTTCACAAATGCATATGCTCATGCAACTACCAACATAATAAAAAATACAATATTGTAATCACCCTACACAGTAACCTTGTGCTGTTTTACAGTTAATTCCCCCTCCCCTTATATATGGCCTCAAGCAACCATGGACCTGCTTTCTCTCCCTATGTGTTAGCTTTGCCTATTCTAAAATGTTATAGAAATGGAATTTTATGGTAAGAATTCTTTTGTGTTTGGTTTCTTTCATTCAATATGTTTTTGAGATATTTTTCAGATTGTTGCATATCACCTCATTGTTCTTTTTTCATGGTTGAGTAGTAGTCACTTTCAGATACATACCATTATGTATTTGTCTATTCACTTGTAAAATTGGTAGACAATTTAGTTGTGTTTCAGTCAGGGTCCAACTAGGAGAAAGAAACAGTAGTTTAAACAGAGAAAGTTTTAGTATGAAAAAATATTAACTATAACAAAAAATAGAACTAACATGTGATTGGCTAGCAAGAAGTAGAGAGACCTCAAATGAATATAAGAACCATAAACAGTGGAAAAATCATACTATCCCAAAATAATAGAGTACCCAAGGAAGAGGAATTTTTTCATCAAAAGTTGAGATCCAGACTTCACTGGAGAAGAAATAGATGTGGTTCACTGGATGATAGAGAAGACAGTAAGGTACCAATGGAACTTGCTGAAAATATACCCTCTCTGGTGCTGGGAGAAGCCATGCCAAGAAAGATGCTGTGTTTGGAACTCACTGCAAACCTACTGATGGGGTATAGGTGAAGATGTTCGTTGGGGAGGTACTCTATTGATATCAGTCCACCAACCCAGGTAAGAGGTATAGTGGGAGATTTGGGTCCCTGATGGCTGTCAGTCATTATAAGAAGTCATGTCTGGAGAAGCCCTTAACTCTGGGGGCTGGGCACTGGGGGAAATGTATGCAGCAGGGGCTGGACATTGGAAAAGCTAGACTCTCCATGTGCCCATCACTAGTGAAACTGCAAGTAGAAGGAGCTTGGTAAGAGGGGCATGCTGAAATCAAGAAGTGTCCTTTCACCTTGTACTTTCTTCTGGCATCTTCTGGGATAAATCTTAGTATTGTATTATTATTCAAAGGAGAAATATTTAATGCACACAGCTCTATTTTCACCCAGCAGTGAATGCACAGTGTATTCATAGTTGAGAGGTAATAAACTGACAAATGGCACAGATTACTTGTAGTTTTTGGCTATTCTAAATAAAGGTAGCATGAATTGGTGTGCAAGTCTTTGTGTAGACATAGATTTTCATATTTCTTGCGTAAATGCACAGCAGAAGAATTGCTGAGTCATGATAAGTGTAGGTATAACCTTATGAGAAACTGATAAAATGTTTTCTAATACTTGGTGTTGCCCATCTTTTTAATTTTAACTATTGTAGTGAATGTAAAGTAGTAGCTCATTGTGATTTTACCTTGAAATTTCTTGCTATTTATTTAGTTGAGAATCTTTGTGTATTTCTTGGCCATCTGTCTATCATCTATTAGAAAATATCTGTTCAAAACTTTTATTATTTACATAATCTGAATATAAGTTGTCTGTCAGAATTACATTGTGTCAATTTGCTTGTTCTTAAATGGTTTTATAAGAAAGGCTTGGTAATATAAGGATAAGACCAGATTAAGTGGGCAAAATAGACTATAGACTCTATAAACTCTAAAGTTTCTTTTTCCTTAAAGATAAGCACATTGGTATAATCATTAGATAGAACATTAAGGTTTTTTTCATAACTTCAATTTGAAAAGCTATGTGATTTCCATGTCAATGTAGATCCAGTCTGTGGCTTGCCTTTTTATTTTCTTACCATATCTTTTAATCAGCATACTTCTTAATTTTGATAAATTTTAATTAATCAAACTTTTATAGCATGTCATTTATCTTTTATGGTGTATACTCTAAGAAATATTTGCCTATCCAGAAGATATGTAGATTTTCTTTTGCATCTTCCTACAGAGCTTTAGAGCTATGATTCATTTTGAATTAATTTTAAAGCAATCTTCCTTTTCCCTCCTCCTTGTGTTTAATAAATAGAGTCTTGCTCAGTACTACAAACCTAGCATAAAAAACTGTATTTCTACCTGATAAGGTAAAGGCAAGAGGCTTTCCCTTACTCTTTTTTTCTCTCTCTCCCTCCTTCCTACCTCTTACTTCTTATAGTTACAAGCTAAATATCACTAGTAAGAACCAGCCAAATATAGGATAAGATAATTTAATAGAAGAGGTTGATAATAAGAGCATAATAAAGGTTAGCTAGATGAATAGTGACACAGAAATTGCATGACTTTTCAAATTGAAAGTAGGAAAAAGTCTTACCACCTTACCAATGATTATACCTATGTTCTTATCTTTACTGCTAATTGTGGCCTCAGATCCAATAGAAATTAGATTACTGAGAAAATAACCTTTTCTAGATAATTTTTTTAAGGAAGAAAGAAACTGGACTTTATGTAGTATAATTCTATTTTGCTCATTTAATCTGGTCTTATCTTTACATTGCCACCCCTTTCTTACAAAGCCTTCAAAAGCAAGCAGATGACTGTTTTGATTAATTATATTTTAGATTTACATTTATTTATCTATTCTTGTGTTTGGCTTGTTTGCATTGTCAGTAAGAATGAGAGGTGTACATACAAATTTGTATGTTAATTTATTCAAAATTGGCAAACACCAACTTTGGTCGAGGCACTATTCTAGTTGCTTCAGACACATCAATGAGCAAAGTCAAGCCCCCATCTCCCTTTTACAAGAAATTTTACAATATTACACCTTTCTGTGTAAGAAATTTGCCTCTCAATGGTTATTATCTTGTTACAAAGAGAGGGAAAAACCTATTTAAGACAACCAGAGACACAAATGAATGTAAATAATCTAGAGAGTCTTTGTTCTCTTGCTATCTGAAGTCCATTTTTTTGTCTATAAATTTAATATGGAATAGAGCTGTACTGCTCCAACTTTAACATGCATACAAATTGGGGTTGTCTTGGGTGGAGCATCAGATTTTACATTTCTGGCACTCTCTTAGGTGATGGCCATGCATGACTGAGATGGGGTGATTTTTTAGGCTTTTTGAGTGTTTTTATTTAAAAGCAACAAAAAAATGTAACTGCAAAATTAAATGTATGCAACAGAACTATTCACTTCTCACTTCTGTTAGAGGTCTTTGAACTTATTTTCAAGATTCGAAGAGTTTTTAAACAAGTGTTTCAATGTTGGTGATTACCTGTTAAAAAAAAAAAAAAAAGAAAAAAAATGAAGCAGGACCTGGATGACCACTTTATAACCAAAGATTGTCAGGTGTTATCAATGCCCACATTTTCTACAACACCACAATTTATATTTGAAGCCTAGATTATTTCAATAGCCTTCCTGCCTCAGCTTTTTGCCTACATTAATTTATTTTCATGGGAAGAAGCCTGAAATACCCTCATAAAATATAACTCAGGGCTGGGTGCGGTGGCTCATGCCTGTAATCCCAGCAGTTTGGGAGGCCGAGGAGGGTAGATCATGAGGTCAGGAGTTCAAGACCAGCCTGGCCAATATGGTGAAACCTTGTCTTTACTAAAAATACGAAAAAAATTAGCCAGGTGTGGTGGTGGGCACCTGTAACCCCAGCTACTCAGGAGGCTGAGGCAGAGAATTGCTTGAACTTGGGAGGTGGAGGTTGCAATGAGCGGAGATGACACCACTGCACTCCAGCCCAGGCGACAGAGTGAGACTCTGTCTCAAAAAAAAAGAAAAAAATATATATATATAAATGACATATCAGAATATGTCATTTTTCAGCTCAAAACTTTCCAAGGTCTTACCATGTCACTTCACTTACTATTACCTACAGAGCATTGCATCATCTGGCCTCATTTATCTCTTTTCCTTTATCTCCTGCTACTCTCCACTTGCTCACTGTAACCTAGAGGTTCTGTTATAACTCAAAAATGCTAGGCACATGCTGCCTTCTTATCTACTGTTTCCTCTTCCTCATGTAGATCTCTCCCTTAACTCCTTTGGATCCTGGCTCAAAGGTCTCTTTTCAACAAAGCCTCCCCTAGCCACCCAATATTAAGTTAAAACCATCCTATTCCAACACTTCCTATCCCTCATCTCTGCCTTATTTTTCTCCAAGGTAGTGGTCACCTTATAATATTGTATAGTTTATTTAAAGTTGATGTTTAATATCTGTTATTTCAGTAGAAAATAAGCCCTACAAAAGCTGGGATTTTAGTTCATTTTTGTTCACTTTTTTCCCTCGGTTCCTACAATACTGCCTAACATATCAAGGTTTTCAAAAAATTGACATACACATATGAATACATACGCATACATACATACCTATATATAATATACACACATATATTCATATATATTAATTATATTGATACAAATGAATAAATAAAAGACTGCTCTCTAAAACAAAAGAACAAAAACAAAAATTATTTAACTTGAAGCCAAAATATGCCATTGATTTTTTTTTTTGAGACGGGAGTCTTGCTCTGTCGCCCAGGCTGGAGTGTAGTGGCGCGATCTCGGCTCACTGCAGCCTCCGCCTCCCGGGTTCAGTTGATTCTCTCCTCCTGAGTAGCTGGGACTACAGGCTCCTGCCACCACATCCAGTTAATTTTTGTATTTTTAGTAGAGATGAGGCTTCATGATGTTGGCCAGGAAGGTCTCAATCTCTTGACCTCGTGATCTGCCCGCCTCGGCCTCCCAGAGTGCTGGGATTATAGGCATGAGCCACTGTGCCCGGCCGATCTTTGTATTTTTTATACATAGTTAAAATTTTGGTATTGCCTTAATTTTCTTTAGTATCTTTGCACCTTTGTGCTAAGTAATATAATGATATTAGCTATCTTTAAGAGATAGCTGTAACCTAGAGGTTCTGTTACATAAGACTTATGACTGGATCTGTGCCTGCTACCAGAAAGGCATTATTGGATTTAACTTCAATGTTCTTTTTTTCTTAATTTGTTATCAAATAATTTGAGAGAAAGCTAAATGGTTTAACGTTTACAATTTTTTTTTCTCACGCTATTTTTTCTTTTCTTGTTTTAAAACTTTCTACCTTCTGTGGAGCTGGCAATTAATCATCTCAGGTTTGCTGGCAGGAGACTGACTATTTGGCTCCTTTATGGAACATACCTTATGTTTTTTCTTTATTCTTCTTCACTGATTTGGGATTCATTTTTTCTTCTGTGTCTATGTGTATGAGTTTCTTTAAAGGGACAACAGATTGTTCTAAGTCATTGGAGTGAGCCAAAGTGAAAAGAAACAGTTTTGGTGGCTTCTCCTAGCTATAGTCTATCCTAGCTCATTAAAAATTTTTATTTAGAGGAAAAAATATTCACTTATTTCACTGGATAATGGAAACAAGGAGTTTGTGTGTTGTGCAGTGGGGTAGACGGTGGGGCAGGGGGTGGACAGCGGAGGGTGCTGGTGATTAACCAGAGAAAAATTGTTTTCAGTAGGAAGCTTGTTCCCAGAACAAATATTAATAGGAAGCTGTTTCTCCTTAAGTCAGCAATGAGTTTCTAATGTAGTTTCCA
Source organism: Homo sapiens (assembly GCF_000001405.40). Classification (NCBI taxonomy): domain Eukaryota; kingdom Metazoa; phylum Chordata; class Mammalia; order Primates; family Hominidae; genus Homo; species Homo sapiens. The sequence goes on along the minus strand of NC_000002.12, from coordinate 51,965,294 downwards.
AAACGAATTGAGTTGATGAGATCTGATTATTTTTCAAGATGTGCCAGATTTCTGGTCCTTACCATCTGCTCAGCCTATTGGTAGCAAGTAAAAATATAGTTGGGAAGATGAGTACTAATACCGATTAATTAACCTCCAGGCAAGTGCCGTGGGACCTTATGACTTTGTACTATTCTTAGATCCAAACCCATAGCCCTTTTGTACATGGGTGTCATCAGAGAACTCTTCACTCTTGAATGAATTCTTTACTCTTCCCTTCTCCAAAAAGGGCCTAACAGAGCTGCGATGGAAAGGCTAACTGAAGGTTAAAAGTCCTACCACATCTAACAAAAGAATCTAGAAAATAATTTAGTTTTATATTTTTATCATCCCAAGTTCACTACTTTGGATGATAAGAAAATTGTTTTCATTCTACAAAGAATTGGCATTTCTTTCTTTCGTTCATCTTTTCCTTCATTAGCACAACAATTATGTAACAGGAAAAACTGAAGATGTAATGAAAATACACTGACCCTGTTTAATATCGAGTGCATTTAGTCATTTATTTATTTACTTATTGTCTGGGGAATGGCAAACTAATTAATCATAAGCAATGCACAATGGTGACCAAATCTGCACAATTTGATAAAGGGCAGAGATATTTCATTTACCCCTATTTTGTAAAACAGGTCAGCTCAGTGTGTTTGCTTAACTTAATGTCTATCACAGTGTGGTAGAATGTCTCTTAGCACATACTCACTGCTACTTATATTGGGATACAATATATCTCCTTGAACTCATACAACTTTTGTTTATCAGGCTTACTGCAACTTTCATTCTGATTATTTCTCTCTTTTGTTAGTCTTTCCCTGTCTCTGTCTCTGTTCCTGTGTGTGTGTGTGTGTGTGTGTGTGTGTGTGTGTGTGTGTGTCCATCTCAATTGTAGAAACCAGGTGTATACCACCTAAAATTCAATCCACTCACAGAACACCTAGTAAATATTTTTTCAGTTGAAACTCATTTAGGATTTGTCACATAGATTTGTTTTCATAGTTACTCTTCTATGAATCCCTAGAACCACGGAATAGCCAAACCATAAGGTATTTTGCATAATTTAGTCCAAAATACCCAGAAGCATTTGAATTCAGAGAATTTAAGTATTTGCCAAAAGTAATGGAACTCTTTTTATTTAAAATAGTATGAAATTAAGTTAAAAAATATTACAATAAAAATTCTTAGTATAAATAAGCTGTCTTATTGAAAGCCTTTGTTTATTCTCAAATGGTCACTTGGGAATTGAGTTCTAACCCAAGAAAAGAGAGAACGTGTGAGGCATGATCAACTTAATTCTCTTCTCCCCCTGGTACTCATCATCATTTAGGGCATCATCATCTCCTGCCTGACCTGCTGCAATGTTTTCCACATGGCTGCCCTGCCCCCAAGCTTTCCCCTTTCTGATACATCCTTTATGATGCTTTGCTGACTTCCTTCCTTAATCCTGGGTTACTTTACTGGGCCTCCCATCCCCAGAATAAAACCTGATTTCTTTGACCTCTGTTAAACACTGGTGCTTATCTGTCATGGTCCTTTTCAGGTGTGTTTTCTACAACTACTCTCCACCACTTCGCCCCTAGTACAAAATCTATCCCTTCATTCTGCTTTTATTGTGCTTTGTACATGTTTTCATCCAGAATTTGCTCAAGTTGATTAACTTATCCCTTTGTATCAAGCTAAAACATGAGCTTTTCAGAGAAAGTACGTCATGATTTATTCATCTTTTGATACCTAGCACTTAAATAAGATTAGTCATTGTAAATTTGCTGGACAGACAGGTGCATGGATGAATAAATGAAAGATTGATAGCCAGTTCCTGCTTACTGAAACAGTGATTGCATTAGGGTTGGGGTACATTTGAGAAACATGAGCTCAAACTGTCTCCATTCTTAACTATAAATAAATTGTATCATGTAATACAAATTGTAAAATACAAAGCAAAGAGCTTATCTAAGTTTAGAAGACTGATCTGATATCATTGAATGCTGGACATTATCACAAGGAGAAGCTGTTTGATTAGAAGATACTTCTTACTTAAATACTTCTCACTTTTTTTAGTGGACAAAGAATGCACGTCGTAACTAAAGACCAAACACATACTTAGGTATTTCAGAAGCTGTATGAAGTGTCTTAAATTAGGAGAGGATTATATGCTTTATCAAATTATAGCGTTTTATATTTTGAAAGGATTTAGTAAGTCATCTAATCCAATTCTCACATCTTGAAGTAAAGAGGTGGCACAGGATAATGACTAAGCACACTGATTTGGTTCAATTTGCAGCTTCACCACTAAACATCTGAACAACACTGGTAAGTTCTTTTACTTTTCTGTGTCTAAGTTCTTTTTTAATCCGTAAAACTATGCTATTAATAGAGCCTGCCTCATCAGGCTGTTGTGAGATTTATGATGTTAAGTTTTAGGTACCACATATTTGCAATTCATATTACTTATGAACAAACTGATGTTTACAAATATTGAGTGAATTGTTCAAAATAATACAATAAGTCAGTGGCCTTGTAGGAGCACAGTCATTTCTTGAGTTTTTGTTCTGTAGTGCTTTAATATAGATGCTCATAGTTTTTCCCCTTTGTCTTAGGTATGCATCTGAAAATTTCATTTTTAAGCTATGGAACCATAAATTGCTATTAAAAGGTGGATTCACAGAAAAGATATAATTAGATCCTCAAATCAGACTTCTTCATAGCAATTTGTTCTCATGCCCATTTTATAGATGTCAGAAACACATACCATGAGTAACTAAATAAGGTTAGATGCAAAGCACTTTGGTATTGCTATTTCAAGGAGAATCCATATCAAGATAATAATTTCTTATGAATCTTATTTATGATAATTTTTTGTTAACAATACTTTCTCCCTCTGAACCTTGAATATATCATTTATCACAGAAGAATGCATGCATGTCCGCATACACACAGAATTCCAAGATCTTTGAAATTATGGTATCCAAAATTTGACAACTACTGAAAATACAATAGAAGAAAATAAGTCAGTCTGAAGACAACTAGAATTTTTAATGTGCCTATTATCCAACCAAATAACTCACATAAAATAAATTTAAATCAAATCATATGGGAAGAAATCCAAACCTCCAAGTCATCCAAGCCCAGTGGAAAATCCCTAAATATACTGTATTCTTATTAGTTTCAAAGGGCACTTATCTGGATAGGTTGATTTAATTAAATTCTGTGTATTTCTTAGTTTCTACTGGCTTATTTTCTGCCAGACTAGCACCTGTAACTCTTTTTTTTTTTTTTGAGATGGAGTTTCGTTCTCATTGCCCAGGCTGGAGTGCAATGGCGTGATTTGAGCTCACCGCAACCTCCACCTCCCAGGTTCAAGCGATTCCCCTGCCTCAGCCTCCCAAATAGCTGGGATTACAGGCATGGGCCACCACACCCAGCTAATTTTTTGTATTGTCAATAAAGACAGGGTTTCTCCATGTTGGTCAGGCTGGTCTCGAACTCCTGACCTCAGGTGATCTGCCCGCCTCAGCCTCCCAAAGTGCTGGGATTACAGCTGTAACTTGTTTTGGAAATTCTACAAATGCAATAACATTTGAAAATTGACATTTATGGTATGGTGAAAAGGTATACAGTTAAAAGTAGTTCTATGTGAGGGTACATAAGAGATACGACACATTTTTCACTTTTCTTTGAAGAGCTTAAAGTGTTCATAGTACAGTGTTATGAAACTATAGAACGAGATTTGAAATTAAATGACATGGGCTTAAACACATTTCCTACTATATAACAGCTATATGAATTTAAACATGTCTCAGTCTCGTTTCATCTCCAAAATAATGGGGAAAATGATGTGAAAGCCACATACACAGGAGATTTGCTAATAGATTCAAGAATTAAGTGCTTTGAGAAACCAGGTGCAGTGTGAGCTATTAGTTTTATCACCTTTTCACTCAACATACTTGGCATTACTGAGTTAGAAAAGAAATAGAAGGTCTCTCAGAAATATACAGTTCATGAATGTAACCTGAATGTATCACAGCTCAATGACAATAAGATTCATATTCTCCATGGTTCTCCCATAAGCTCCCACAATTCTTTATGGAATCTCCCTGAGGTGGTGTCTCATGTTCTCAGAAACAAGTCTGCACACGATTTTCCACGTTTCCTCCTCTTCCTGGTGCCTCATCACTGCCTCTACTGCGAAAACTCTCTATGTCAATGCCAATGAGGTTATTCTCCCCAGTTGCTTTAAAGCCAACAGTACTTGAGGTGCCCAAGCATTAAGGAATTTTCCACAAGAATGTGGAAAATGCTCCTCTCCCTAACCCTGTCCTATATTTTGTCATCTTATTCTGAAAACACCATGGACATTACTCTGAATCAAAAAGTAGCTCATAAACTAGTGCCTTCTTCCAGAAGCTGAAGTCTTTTTGGGTTCCAAATCAGCCCAAAAGCGTAGGTAGGGAGAGTTAACATCCCATGCTCTCTAGGATTCTCTCTGTTTTCTTGCACTTCAATTGCGTCTGCCCTAAAATAAATGTATACTCACATACGTATCACAAGATATTCTTGAAATGAAGATTAGTATGTAAAAGATTTATCAGGCAAGTGTTCTAAACTGATAATTATAAAAATGTCAGGGAAACAGGAGAAGGAAGAGGAAGAAACAAAGCAAGGGTTCAATTTTAGCCACCCTCATCATGTTTCCACAGGGGAGCTCTAGGGTATAAATTTTGCCTCGGTGTTTTTCCCTGCTAAGGCTAAACAAGGGGAGTTTTCACATTCCTGCAGCTGTCTGTCATTGGCTAAGAGTTGTGTATGTGTGATGTGAACTTCTTAGGATATGAGCAAAATGGCTCGAGTATTTGTAATGTTCCTCAGGTGTATGATGTTAGAAGCAAAAACACACAGAAGCTATGGAGGGGGCACTTGTAGATTCACTGCATCTCCCTCTTGTAGTCCAAGAAAATTAACTTGGACTAAAAATGTTCCCATGTATGCAACTCATTTAAATACATATTTGGGAAAAAAATGTACTTCACAACCCCACTTTCCAGATGCATTGAAGCCACAGCTTTGCTCCAGACAGACACTTTGTTAAACAAGATGTGAGCAGCCTAACTAAGCATTGATTCATGGTAAATTTCTATAGGCATTACTAGATATTTAAAATGCTTCTATTGGCCAATAAAAGCTTCCTAGGAGAGATTTTTACCCAAGTTATTATAGTAAATGTCATGGGTGACACATGCATCTATCTAATTTTCCATATCTGAGTTTCCTTCTATATTTGCTTACTACATAAATAAATGTATCAATGCTTTATTAAAAATACATATTTCTACTTATGACACTCACAGTGACTATTACGTGGATGTATTTGATGTTTCACCATTTATTTTCTGTGAAAACAAATGATAGTATCTCAGAATATTTAATGGTAAACGGTCTGGCATTTACTTCAATTCTTGAGGATTACTCAGGCATTAGTAAAGAAAACTATTGAATGGCTAATAGGGTATGTGTTGACCTTGGATGATCAATTTTCAGTCACTTAAGAACTGCTCCATATGTTGACATAAGGTAAAATAAATAATCATAACTTTTCAACACAGATACTTAATAGAATGAGAATTTTTTTGGTGTAAGTTATAGAGTGTTTCTTGATTGCTTAAATCAGCCTTTTGTACCTTAAATACTTATCAGTGGCTCAAATTTGTGATTTAAATGATCTCTTTAAGTATTCATGATCTTTATGTAAAACTCCCCATTTAAAAATGAAATCAGTTTAATTATCTGTTTATTTTTACTCCTTTTTCTTATAGGGATGTAAGCTCTAGTTCAGAGTGGAGAAGATCCTCCCGCATTCAGTGATTCCATGCCTAAGCCTTAGATACATAACCCAAGATTCAACAAGCAACACCCGTTCACATTAGATGATATTCTAGGCACTAGAGGAACTCTGAGGGTACCATCAGGGTCAGGAAATAGTGTAGTGGAGGACAGCAGAGCTGGGGAGGACATCGCTAATTTAAACAGAATGACACTCCTTTAAATCCATTATACTCTCTGTTAGAGAATGTAACTGCGCATTCTTGTCATAAAACACCAATAAAAGATAAATTTTGTGGACCACAGAAATAATGTTAGCTTCTAATAGATTTTTCTTAAAATCTATAGAATAGTCATTTAGAAATATCTAGTTGGAAGATGTTAGAAAAATGAACCCGAAGGATAGAAGAAAATTAACCATAGAAATAGACATTTAGAAATGACTGTCAGATAAAATCATAGTATACAAAATTCAAAGGAAAGAGTGGGAGAAGAGAAATACCTATGGGCAAACATCTTCGGGAAACCAGATACTAAGATGTAGAAAGAAAAGAGAAGCAATGCTTATATATATGTACAGTCAAAATATACATATACATATATATGTGTGTGTATATATATATATACATATATACAGTAAAAATTCTATCTGGTGAAGCCCGATTTTTTCAGTGCTTTTGGAAAAATGCTGAATAGCATTAGTTGCTATAGCTTTCTTTTGCTTTCTCTCTCTCTCTCTCTCTCTCTCTCTCTCTCTTTCTCTCTCTGTCTGTCTCTGTCTCTCTCGGGATCAAAGTTGCAGGTGATTCATTATGTCTACTAGTGTTCTTGCCCCCCTTATCCCACTGACCCCCTTCTCCTCTCCTCTCATAATAAGGTATGGTCAATGTTCATAATGAAAAGTTATTGTAATTGGGAAAAAACATGATGTTATATAAAGGGAAAAAATGTCATGAGAATAATAAAATATCCCATTTGAACACAATATGATAAAAATTAATGCAAAAATATATTACTAGACTGTCACTATGTGTGAGAAACTATTTTGACATTGGAGATACAGTGATAAAGAAGATATTTTAAATATAACTTGGATATAAAGAGATTATTATAAACTGGGTGAGTAAATGAGGAAAATGGGATGATTGTCATGAACCTAGCCTTTTTTTTCCGCAGGATCCCAAAAGCTTCAGCTACAAAATCAGGGGTTATATCCTGACACCTAGGCATAGATCAAAACTAAGAAAAATATTATCACCTCATAAGTATGCCTTAGTGATAAAAGGGGATGGTTGATAATCTAAAATGGAGAAATAGATCCCCCTAAAGGACAGAATTGAAGTATCAAATTATCCCCTCTCTAAAGTGGCTTGGAGCTGCCAGGAAGACTGGAAAACCCCCCCAAAAAAGCTTGAGTGTGGAGATCTATAAACATAACAATAAACAAGACTACCAGGCATTATCAACACGGGGCATAATTCAAAGCAGTGCATTCTAGTCCCACATTTTGGTGGTTTGTGAGAACAGTTATTTCTTTTCAAAAACAGTATTGGGGATAATAGAAGTAGATTGGATAGCATTTTTTCTCTGAAGCTTAGCTTTTCATTTTTGTATGTCTTTTGGCTTATAGATTTGCTTTTGTAGGTTTTTAGACTTATATTTTGATAATATGACATTTTGAGAATTAGAAATCAACACTTTCAGAAAAAAAGTATTATTTCAGATAAAATATATTTTAATGTGTATATAGTAAAATTACAATAATACAAAATGCAACAAAAATTTATAAATTTCTTTTTATACAGATTACTTTTTTCTTATTGAAAGTCAATTTTGTAAAGTTCAGTAGTGCAGACTTACAGCATCTTCATACATTATGCAGTTTCTTTTTAGGTCTAATGTTATCTCCAGATTGTCCTTTTTTTTAATTAAATTTCTATATTTTGTACATGGTATATAGCTAAATGTATAGCACTTTATTATCTCTTAACTTTATCTGACTAAAATGTAACAAAATTTATATTTCAAACCTCATCTAAAGATGCATGAAAAATATGATCAACAGCCAGCCGAGAAAGGCAGTGTCCATGAAATAATTTAATTACATTGTGCATGAGTGTTTTAATAATTACTTCATATTGAATATAAGATTTTCAGATTAAATAAATAAAATAATTATTTCACCTAAATATTTGAATTTAGTATAGCTTACCAGTCAGGTACTATCTAAGAGTACCACTTATTTGAAAGATATTTTCAGAAAGCAGCTTGGAGATCCAGGATATAGATAGTCTTTTCTGATTTGATAGCCAACCCAATTGCCCTTGTTAATCCAGCCCTGTTTTCTAAAATAGTTATCTGAGTTTATAAGCACGAAAGGCAGATATTTAAAAGGGGATAAGTTTTAAATAATCAGAAAAGGTAGTTGGAAATTGAGAGTAATTCTTGCTACTGTATGTCTTTTACGTGTGTCAGAAATGTCCATTCTTACCATGGCTAGTAAGACTCTATGATTCGGTTTCTGCCATCTTCTTGATGGCATCTTCTACTATATTCCTCATAACTTACTTCTCCACCAACATAGGCTTTCTTCTTGGTCCTTAAATACACTTCACAGCATTTGTAAATGCTCCATAATTTTTCTGGAATCCTTTTTTTCCAGATAGCCACATGGCTTGCTCAGTCATTTTCTCTATCTCTGCACATATATCACCTTAGTCTTCCAATGTAAATACAAAACCTCTCCTCTTTGTGCTATTTTGAAGTTCATTATCCTTGTTCTTTCTAGTGGCATCCAATATGTTTGTTTAATTTTTCTGCAGTACCGCTCAAGCCCACTGCAATATAAGCTCTGTGAAAGAAGGAACTTTTTTGTTGTTTTCTGTTTGTTTGTTTTGCCTGTTGATGTGTATCTTACATCAAAAACACTGTTTGGGCCCATTGTGAAGGCTCAATATTTGGTTAGAATTGAGTATGAAGACTATTACAAAGTCAGTTCAGAACAATGTGAAATATCCCAAATAGATTTGAAGTCTTTTGATGTCAGTGATATCTCTGTACTTGTAAACAATTCTATTGTCTTCCACTTTTAAGTCAGATGTTCATTATTTTATATATCACTGAATCTTCCAGTGACATTCCCATTTCATAAGATTTTTTTCAGTCAACATCATTATATTTAAGTCACTAATATGTCTGAATTTTTAAGAAGTGCCTGTTTGCAGTAATAGTTGAGAAAACAGGAATCACTTGCCATATACCATTGGATATCAGCAGCTTTTCTAAGTGTCAGGGAGTTAGGGCAATGAACTGTGATATCTGAGTGAAGGTGCAAACTATAAGCTGGGAAAAATAGGGCAAAGAATAGATCACTATTGGTGAAGAAAAGAGATGGCTCTTACAATAGATCAACAAATATACTGATAATTATGTGATGAGTAATTAACTGTATTTATCTCGTATAACACAAACCAAATCCAGATGAAAAATAAAAATTCAAATGTGGCAGAAGCTGACAGTTTTCATTAATATGGATTACTAACTACTTCCTTAATATTTAAGTTAAGAATTTTAGCTGCACTGCTTAAAACTAAACTAACTGTTCCAACCTGCTTTTAAGTGTGGACATGTGACTAGTTTTGACCAATGGGACAAAAACAGAAGGGTTACATGTGAATTCCAGGATTTATAATTAAACAAAGCGTTAACCTTATTTTTCTGCTTTCTTCCTTTCTGTTGTCTTGAAAAAGATCACAATGATTTAGGTGAAGTTGCAACTCTGGGTAATAGGGTTTGCTGGTTACCAACACATTGCCTCTTAGTTCCAAATTCACCCTTATTTCCCTATTCTTTGAAAATTGGCTGGTTCCTTTTAAGTATTTTCATTTTTTTCAACTGACACAATGTTAAGCTTTCTTAATGGAGTGCTGAAGAGAGATTGCAAAAGGAAAGGGATTGCTTCTTGTACTAGGATACTTTTGCAGGCTCCTAGTTTCCCTAGCACTGGGCTCCTGTGAGGTGATCAACAATTCCAGCCTTTAAGCCCTAAGAAGTGCTTGCCACTTCTCCAGTGCCTGACTACAGCAGGGTAGCCAGTACTACCCACTTGCCATCCAGTTCCCCAGGATCCTTGTTCAGGTAGTTTTGTAGCCGAGTGGTCTCTGATGAGATACTTTTCTGTGAACAACTTTCTCTGGCAGCCAGGAAGGGTGATTTTCTGTAAGCTTCAGAGAGTATACTTCCAGAGATTTCTGCCAGAGCAGCATCACAGTGACTTTCCTTCCATTTTGTGGGCTATAGCCTTGCTGTCTCCAACAAGATCTGGATCACATCCTTGTTTGGGGGAGGTTGTGGCAGAGGGTCTTCCTTCAATGCTCAGCCTAGTGCAGTGGCCATGTCATATGGTAGTATGTCTTAGGACATTGTATCATCTCTGCTATTCCTATATTATTATGTTGAGGCATCTTTATTTCTTACTAGCTCATATATTGTTATTCCCATCCAGTTATAATGAATAGTTTCCTATATTAAGCTTTCCCTGTTTTGATCACCATGTGACTTCTTGCTCAATGTGGCTGCAGACTGATACATAGGGTAAATAACATGTGCCAAGGAAGGCATAGCAGCAGCTTTCATGTGAAGAGAAACAAATAACTTGTGTAAATTACGATGACTTTTGTTTTTGCAGCATCTGACTAACATTTAAAGTTGTATAAGCAGCTAAATTAATCATATTTTCCCATACAACACCAAATATTCTGTTTGAAGTTCTCTGAATAATAGAGGCACAGTTCCTGCCATCTAGTATTTGCTTTGCAAATACTTGCTAAATAAATGAGCAACACAGTTCACAATAAAAATACAAATTGTTAGCAAGCTCAATGGAATAAATATCATACATGAAATAAGCCCAATATTAAGCAGAAAATATCAAATTATAGAATGGAATAAAATGCCATCCTTGAATATGAAAGAAAATGATACACAAATTTTAGGGGAAATGTCTAATTGAAAAATTAGAGACCTATATTCCTTAAATCTCCTTGAAAATGTTTAGTATTAACAAGGTTCATATGGATGTGAAGAGAGAAACCTGAAACATACAACAACCCACCTTCCTCTTACTAGCCCAATTTTTAAGTATATTAGTTCTACTAATGTTATAACTGTCAGCTTTTCTTAAGAATAAATATTACAGAGTGATTTGTGGTAAGCATAGATACTTTCATTTTAAAAATATTTTTCTGTGGAATCATGTTGCTTTGGAATCTACAGAGATAATTAAGGCATGACCACTATTCCTCAGGAATTCCTGGTATAAGGCAGAAGCTGCATATTAAAATGACTTTTGCATAAAGGAATGAAAAAAGCACCATAATACAGAAAGTAAGTTGTATGTAACCTACTTTCATAACATAATACAGCACCATAATACAGAAAGCACCATAATACAGAATGAAAGTAGGTTGTATGTAAATTAGAGACATAAATAAATAGTGTATAACTGATATGGTTTCACTGTGTCCCCACCCAACTCTAATCTTGAAATGTAGCTCCCACAATCCCTACATGTGGTAGGAGGGTCGCAGCAGGAGGTAACGGAATCATGGAGGTGGGTTTTCCCATGCTGTTCTCACGATAGTGAATAAGTCTCACAAGATCTGATGTTTTTGTAAAGGGCAGTTCTCTTCCACACACTCTCTTGCCTGCTGCCATGTAAGATATGCCATCCCCACTCCTTTGCTTTGCATCATGATTGTAAGGCCTCCCCAACCATGTGGAACTGTGAGTCCATCAAACCTCTTTTTCTTTATAAACTACCCAACCTCAGGTAAGTCTTTATATGTAGCATGAGAATAAACTAATATAGTACATTGGTAATGGGAGTGGGGAACTGCTGTAAAGATACTGAAAATTTGGAAGTGACTTTGGAACTGGAAAACAGGCAGTGGTTGGAGCGGTTTGGAGGGCTCAGAAGAACACAGAAAAATGTGGGAAAGTTTGGAACTTCCTAGAGACTTGGAGGGCTCAGAAGATAGGAAGATGTGGGAAAGTTTGTAACTTCTAGAGTTGTTAAATGGCTTTGACTAAAATGCTGATAGTGATATGGACAATAAAGTCAAAGCTGAGGTGCTCTCAGATGGAGATGAGGAAATTCTTGTCAGTTGGAGAAAAGGTGACTCTTGTGATGCTTTAGCAATGAGACTGGTGGCATTTTGCTCCTGCCCTAGAGACTAGTGGAACTTTGAACTTGAGAGAGATGATTTAGGGTATCTACCAGAATAAATTTCTAAGTAGCAAAGTGTTCAAGAAAAAGCAGAGCAATAGAAAGAAAAGCCCATTTCTGGGGAGAAATTCAAGCCAGCTGCAAAAATTTGCATAAGTAATGAGGAGCCAAATGTTAATCACCAAAACAATGGGGAAAATGTCTCCAGGCCATGTCAGAGACCTTCATGGCAGCCCCTTTCATCACAGGCCCAGAGGCCTAGGAAAGAAAAATGGTTTCTTGGGCTGGGTCCAGGGCCCGCTTGCTGTGTGCAACCTCAGGACTTGTAGCCCTGCGTCTCAGCTGCTCCAGACATGGCTAAAATGGGTCAAGGTACAGATCAAGCTGTTGCTTCAGAGGGTGCAAGCCCCAAGCCTTGGTAGATTCCATGTGGTGTTGGTCCTGTGGGTATGCAAAAGACAAAAACTGAGGTTTGGAAACCTCCACCTACATTTCAGAGGACTTATGAAAACACCTGAATGTCCAGGCAGAAGTCTGCTGCAGGGGTGGAGCCCTCATGGAGAATCTCTGCTAGGGCAGTGCAGAAGGGAAATGTGGGGTGGGAGTCCCCACACAGAGACCCACTTGGGCACTGCCTAGTGGAGCTTTCAGAAGAGGCCCAATGTCCTCCAGACCCCAGAATGGTAGATCCACCAACAGCTTAAGCCGTGCACCTGGAAAAGCTGCAGACACTCAATGTCAGCTTGTGAAAGCAGCTAGGACTAGGAGGTACCCTGCCAAGCCACAGGGGCGGAGCTGTCCAAGACCATGGGTACCCACCTCTTGCATCAGCATGATCTGGATGTGAGACATGGAGTCAACATAGATCATTTTGGAGCTTTCAGGTTTAACGACTGCCCTATCAGATTGTGGACTTGCACAGGGCCCGTAGCCCCTTCATTTGGCCAATTTCTCCCATTTGGAATGGGTATATTTACCCAATGCCTTTACCCCATTATATCTAGGAATTAACTAATTTGCTTTTGATTTTACAGGCTCATAGGTGAAATGTACTTGCCTTGTCTCAGATGAGATTTCGAACTGGACTTTTGAGTTAATGCTGAAATTCCTTAAGACTCTGTTGGGAGGGCATGATTGGTTGTGAAATATGAGGCCATGAAATCTTGAAGCTGCCAGGGGCAAAATGATATGGTTTGGCTGTGTCCCTGTCTAAATCTTATCTTGAACTGTAGCTCTTACAATCCCCATGTGTTCTGGGAGGGACCAGTGAGAGGTAATTGAATCACGGAGGTGGGGTGGTTTCCCAACTATTCTTGTGATAGTGAATGTCTCATGAGATCCAATGGTTTTATAAAGGGCAGTTCCCCTGCATATGCTCACTTGCCTGCTGCCATGTAAGATGTCCCTTTTGTTCCTCCTTCACCTTCTCCCGTGACGGTGAGGCCTCCCCAGCCATGTGGTACTGTGAGTCCATTAAACATTTTTTCCTTATAAATTACCCAGCCTCATGTATGTCTTTATTTGCAGTGTGAGAATAGGCTAATACAACAACTGGGGGTATTGCGGGATTTTTTTCATAAGTTATAGGATTTAAGGTAAATCGTAACTGTCAGAAGGGTTTGAAAAGACAGAGAGAAAGAAATAAAGCATTCCAGGTGATGCCACTAAGCTAAACAAATCCACAGTGCTCAGACTATTCAAGAACTTTTCAGAGAAAAGTAAAAAGCAGTTGATGTTTACAGTTGTCTGGATGGGACCTTAGAAATAAAGCTATAATTATAAGTCATAGCAAACTGAATGACATTTTAAGTGCCAGTTGGTGAAGAGATAAGAAAAATTTTTGAGCACAGGTGAGAAAAGAGTGAAAAAGAAAACTATTTCAAGAAGGTTGTTCAGAAAGGAATATGTAGGAGAGATTAGAGATATGAAAGACTAGAAGGAAAGAGACTAATCATTGAAGTTGCTGTAGTCATCAAGGCCTGATATAGTTTGACTCTCTCCTTACCCAAATCTCATCTTGAATTGTAGTTCCCATAATTCCCATATGTCATTGGAAGGACCCTGTGGGAGATAAGTGAATCATGGGGGCAGGTATTCTCCGAATTGTTTTCATGATAGTGAATAAGTCTCAGAGTATCTGATGGTTTTATAAAGAGGAATTCCTCTACACAGGCTCTCTCTCATCTACGGCCATGTAATATATCCCTTGCTCTTCTGCCATGATTTTGAGGCCTCCCCAGTCATGTGGAACTGTGAGTCAATTAAACCTCTTTTCTTATAAATTACCCAGTCTCAGGTATGTCTTTATTAGCAGCATGAGAACAGACTAATACAAGGCTTGAGTGTGTATGCTATGGATTTACAATTTAGAAACCAAAGAAGTGAAAAACTTAATAGTAGAAAACAAATAATCTGATTTTAAAATGGGCAGAAGAACTGAACAGACATTTTTCCAAAGAGGAAATACAAATGGCCAACAGTTATATTTTTAAAATGTTAAACATAGTTTGTCAGAGAAATGCAAATTAAAACCACAATGACATATCTTCTCACTTCTGTTAGAATGACTATTATCAAAAAGACAAAAGACAATAAATGTTGAGAAGGACATGGAAGAAAGGTAATTCTTGCATATTATTGTAATGTAAATGAGTACAGTCATTATAAAAAAACAGTATGGAGGTTTCTCAGAAAATTAAAAATAGAACTATCATATGATCCAGCAATTCCGCTTTCAGATATGTATTCAAATAAAGTAAAATCAGTGTGTCAAAGAGGTTTCTGCACTCTCATGTTCATTACAGCACTAGTCATAATAGCCAAGATATGGAATCAACCTAAGTGTCCATCAATAGATAAATGGATAAAGAAAATGTGTTATAAATGTACAATGGAATGCTATTCAGCCTAAAGAAGAAGGAAAACTGCCATTTTGAACAACATGGGCTAACCTGGAGGACCATATGGTAAGTGACCTATGCTAGGACAAAAAAGACAAATATCACATGATTTCACTTAAATATTTTGCGGAGCTATTGTACAGCATGATGACTATGGTTAACAATCTATTATGTACTTAATAATTACTAAGAGAGTAGTTTGAAATGTTCTCAACACAAAACAATGCTAAGTATGTGAGAGGACTAAAATGTTAATTAGCTTGATTTAATTATTTGATGATGCATACATATATCAAAACATCACATTACATGCAATAAATACATACAATTTTTGTCAATTAAAAATGATGTTTCAAATTTTTAAAAAGTTAGCAGAAAATGTTTTGCAACAACACAAATAGAATTTTATAGCTGATAGATTTCCAGTTGCTAGGTAAAAGAGATTTTGAAATTCTAAGATTTTAAATTTATTCAGAATGTTTGCATATACATAAAAATTTGCACACATATCATTACAGTTTGTTCTTTATCTAATTTTGGTATGGATTAACTCAAATTCTTTTAATTTTTCTTAAGCTTTGAAATAAATGTTGTAAGAATTGTTTTTATTTATAGACTGGTAGGTTTAACCTACAAAATTATTTGAGATAGGTGCATAGATAGGAGGGTGTAAATTTAACTTCCACTACTCTTAGTGGAATTAATGTTTCTATTTACTAAGAATAATTATGAATTTCATTAAGAACTCCAAGTTTACTTGCTGAAAACTGTGTATAATATTCAGTTATATTGTGTATTTTATCATGTGTAGCTATTATTTTGTTTTCTTTTTTCTTAGACTTATTGTATATGTACTTTTCTGTATGGTATTGATCTTTTACATAATCAGGTTTTCTGTGGTTTTTATTAAAATAATTTAATAAAAAGACACCCTTTAGTAGTTATTATGTTTTTATTTTACTGCATTGTCATCAAGAAAAACAGTTTATACATTTCTTATTTTGTAAATGTATCTTTTCTTTCCATGGATTTATGTGAATATTTTATGAGTAATTAAAATAGGAGATGTATTCTCTATTTTATGATTATAGATTGCTACAGTTTAAGTATTTGTTCTCTCTTAACTCATATAAATATGTAGTTGCAATTGTTAACAGTGTTATGAGATGAGACGTTTAAGAGGTGTTTAGGTCATGAGGGCTCCACCCTCATAAATGGACTATCAGTATTATCCCAGTAGTAGATTGCTTATCAGAGAAGTAGATTTTTGCCCTCTCACTGTCTATCTAACCCTCTATCTGCCCTTCTGAAAGCAGGCCTTTGACAAATGCCAGCCCCTCGTGGACTTCTCAGCCTACAAAACCATGAGACAATGAGTTTCTGTTTATTATAAATTACCCAACCTGTGACATTTTGTTAGAGCAGGAAAAAAATGATTTCTACTTAACCAACATTTTTGTTGAATAGCTACTTCATAAGCTTGGTGAATTAGTCTGTTCTCACGCTACTAATAAAGACATACCATAGACTGGGTAATTTATAAAGGAAAGAGGTTTAGTTGACTCACTGTTCAGCATGGCTGGGAAGACCTCAGAAAATGTCCAATCATGGCAGAAGGGGAAGCAAACATGTCCTGATTCACATGGTGGCAGGAAGGAGAAGTGTAGAGTGAAGTGGGGGAAAAGCCCCCTTGTAAAACCATCAGATCCCATGAAAACTGACTCACTAGAACTCATGAGAACATCATGGAGGTAGCTGTCCCCATGATTCAATTACCTCCCACTGGGTCCCATCCATGACATGTGGGGATTATTGGAACTACAACTTAAGATGAGATTATCATCCCTGTCATCACCCAATGGGCCCATGAACAAAGTGGCCATCATGGCAGGGATGGAGGTTACACATGGACTCAGCAACATGGACTTCCACTCACCAGAACTGACCTGGACATGGCCACCCCTGAGTGCCCAATTTGCCAGCAGCAGAGACCAACACAGACCTCGATATGGCACCATTCCTCAGGGTGATTATCCAATTACTTGTTGGCAGGTTGATCATATTGGACCTCTTCCATCATGGAAAGGGCAATGGTTTGTCCTCACTGGATTAGACGCTTACTCTGGATATGGGTTGGCCAACTAGCATGCAATGCTTCTGCCAAGACTCACAGGATGCCTTATGCACTGTCATGATATTCCACATAGCATTGCCCCTGACCAAGCCACTCACTTTTATGTCTAAAGAAGTGTGGCAGTGGGCTCATGCTCATGGAATTCACTGGTCTTACCATGTTCCCCATAATACTGCAGCATTTGGATTCACAGAATGGCAGAATGGCTTTTTGTAGTCACAGTTACAACACAAACTAGGTGACAATACTTTGCAGGGGTGGGGCAAAGTTCTCCAGAAGGCTATGTATGCTCTGAATTAGCATCCAATAAATGGCACTGTTTCTCGCATAGCCAGGATTCACAGGTCCATGAATCAAGGGGTGGAAGTGGAAGTGGCAGCACCCACCATCACCCGTAGTGACCAACTAGCAAAATTATTGCTTCCTATTCCTTCAACGTTACATTCTGTGGACCTAGTGGTCTTAGTTCCAGAGGGAGGAATGCTACCACCAGAAGACACAAGAATGATTCCATTAAACTGGTAGTTTAAGATTGCCACCTGGCCACTTTGGGCTCCTCCTACCTCTAAATCAACAGGCTAAGAAGGGAGTTATAGTGTTGGCTGGGGTGATTGACCCAGACTTTAAAGATGAATTCAGTCTACTACTCCACAGTGGAGGTAAGGAAGAGTATGTGTGGAATACAGGAGATCCCTTACAGCATCTTTTAGTATTACCGTGTTCTGTGATTAAGGTCAATGGGAAACTACAACAGCCCAATCAAGACAGGACTACAAATGGCCCAGACCCTTCAGGAATGAAGGTTTGGACCACTCCACCGGGTAAAAAACGATGACCTGCTGAGGTGCTTGCTGAAGGCAAAGGGAATACAGAATAGGTTGTAGAAGAAGGTAGTCACTAATACCAGCTACAACCATGTGACCAGTTGCAGAAACAAGAACTGTAATTTTCATGAGTATTTCCTCCTTATTTTGTTATGAACATGTTTATTCTTGTATACATGTGTACTAAGAAAATATCTTCATTTTGTTTTCTTTTTTTCCCTTTATCATGTGACGTAAGATTTATTGACTTCGTATCAGCAGTTAAGTGTCATTAACTCTATGTAATAACATTTAGGTTAAGAAATAGTGTGCTTCCAGTTGTATGAAGGATAGCTGTATTATGTTAGGTGTAATTACAACCATATTATTGTCCTTATTTAAAGATTATTTATGATTTTAACAGATGTGCATGGGTTCAAATTGACAAGGGGTGGACTTGTCATGGTTAATATCCAGTGTCAACTGATTGAATTGAAGGATGCAAAGTGTTGTTCCTGTGTGTGTCTATGAGGGTGTCGCCAAAGGAGACTAACATTTGAGTCAGTGGATTGGGAGAGGCAGACTCACCCTTTATCTGGGTGGGCACCATCTAATCCTCTGTCAGTGTGGCTAGAATAAAGCAGGAAGAAGAAAGTGGAAGGACTTGACTTGCTGAGTCTTCCAGCCTTCATCTTTTTCCCATGCTGGATGCTTCCTGCCCTCGAACATCAGACTGCCAATTCTTCAGCTGTTGGACTCTTGGACTTACTTCAGTGGTTTTCCCGGAGCTCTAGGGCCTTTGGACACAGACTGAAGGCTGCACTGTCGGCTTCCCTACTTTTGAGGTTTTGAGACTCAGGTTGATCCACCACTGGCTTCCTTGCATCTCAACTTGCAGATGGCATATCTTGGAACTTTACCTTGTGATTGTGTGAGTCAATTTTCATTAATAAACTCCCTTTCTTATATACATAGATCCTATTTGTTCTGCCCCTCTTGAGAACCCTAATACACTATCATTATTCAAGTTTTTGTTCTTACGTATATAAATGGTATCATAAAAGTGTTGTATATAAATATTGCTACAAAAATAAAACAATGTTACTTTCATACTACTGGTTACTTCTACATCTTTATATGTGTAAATTATTATTTCTGGATTTATAATCTATAATAATACCTTTAGTACTCAATTATATATAATGAGAAGAACAGCATCCTTATGTTTCTCCCATGTTTCTCCTTCTTCCTCTCAATTTTTGTTAATAGCTACATTACTAAAATTTGTAACATTTACATTTTTCTATATTCTTAATAGCTCTATTATCAATATTTGTAACTTTTACATTTTTCTGTATTCCTAACTTCCAATTATTAACCTTATTTATATATCTAAAAAGTTTCAATGTTTGTTATGACTTCTCTGTATTTTGGTTTGTAGAATTTCAACACCCAATAGCTTATTTTAAAAATTTCAAAGGTATATTTTCTCTACAGTTTGTGTATTTTTAAATTTTTTTTTAAATTGATAAAATTGTATATATTTATAATACATAATATGATGCTTTGAATGAATATACATTGTGAAATGGCTAAATCAAGCTAAGTAACATATGCATTACCTTACATAGTGGTCATTGTTGTGATGAGAACAATAAATATCTATCCACTCTGAATTTTTCAAGAATAAAATATGTTATTGACTATAGTCACCATGTTGTACCACAGATCTCTTAAAGTTACTCATTCTATCTAACTAAAATTTTATTGCCTTTGACTTACATCTCCCCAACCCCTTCTCACCAACACCCTATTTCTGAAAACCACCATTCTACTCTCTACTTCTAAGAGATCACTTTTTTTAGATTCTACATATAAGTGACATTGTACAGTGTTTGTATTTCTGTGGCTGGCTTATTTCACTTAGTATAATGTTTTAAGTTTGTTTGATTTGTTAAATTTACCAACTTGATTGGTTACACAGTTACTAGCTTTAATAGATTGGTTTTACCTGAGGATCTCATAAACTTTCCCATCATTTTTTAACCATTAAATATAGCTATGAGAAATGTAAGTATTACTTGATTTTTTTCCCTTATATGTAATAAATAGCTTTGTTTTGTTTTTTGGTTGGCCTTTCTTTTCCAAACAAGTAAGCAATATAAATGACCTAATTTATATTTTCCCAGAAAACATTTTATTTCACCACATTTTTTTAAAGAGAAAAATGTCAGCTGTACTTCCTCAACTATTTTCCTATTAATAAATGTGACTGGATATGTAAATTTATAGGATGTAAATTAGTAGTCTAGATAAAAGCTCACATGAACTATTGAAAATAAAATCAAAATAATAAAGTAGTATAATTATCACATTAATTTTGCAGTTCTTAAATTTTATTTTTCTTTAGTTCCATTGTTGAAAAGACATCTCATGTTGTATCAGTTTGTTCTCACTTCTCTATAAAGAACTGCCTGAGACTGGGTAATTTATAAAGGAAAGGGGTTTAATTGACTCACAATTTCACATGGCTGGGGAGGCCTCAGGAAACTTACAATCTCGGAGGAAGGCACCTCTTCCCAGGGTGGCAGGGGAGAGAAGGAGTGCAAGAAGAGAGGGAAATGCCAGATGCTTATTAAATCATCAGATCTCATGAAACTTACTCATTATCGTGAGAAGAGCATGAGGAAAACTACCCCCATGATTCAGTTACCTCCACCTGGTCCCACCCTTGACAAGTAGAGATTATGGGGATTACAATTCAAGGTGAGATTTGGGTGGGGACGCAGAGCCAAACCATGTAATTCTGCCCCTGACTCCTCCCAAATCTCATGTCTTCACATTTCAAAAAACAATCATGCCTATCCAACAATCCCCCAAATTCTTAACTCATTTCATCATTAACCCAAAAGTCTAAGTCCAAAGTCTCCCTTCCACCTACAGCCTGCAAAACCAAAAGCTAGTTAGTTACTTTCGAGATACAATGAGAGTATAGGCATTGGGTAAATATACCTGTTCCAAATGAGAGAAATTGGCCAAAATGAAGGGGCTACAGACCCTATGCAAGTCTGAAATCCAGTAGGGGAGTCATTAAACCTTAAAGTTCCAAAATGATCTCCTTTGACTCCATGTCTCACATCCAGGTCATACTGATGCAAGAGGTGGATTCCTATGATCTTGGGCAGCTCTTTTCTGTGCCCTTGGAGGGTACAGCTGGCCTGCTGACTGATTTCACAGTCTATCATTGAGTGTCTGTGGCTTTTCCAGGTGCATGGTGTAAGATGTCAGTGGATATACCATTCTAGGGTCTGGAGGACTGTGGGCCTCTTCTCAAAGCTCCACTAGGCAGTGTCCCAGTTTAGACTCTTTGTTCGGGCACCTACATTTACCTTCTGCACTGCCCTAGCAGAAGTTCTCCATGAGGGTTCTGCCCCTGCAGCCAACTTCTGCCTGGATATCCAGGCATTTCCATACATCCTCTGAAATGCAGCTGGAGGTTCCCAAACCTCAGTTCTTTTCATTTGTGCACCTACAGGGTTAATACCACATGGAAGCTTCCAAGGCTTGGGGCTTGCACCCTCTGAAGTAGTGACCAGAGCTGTACCTGGGCCCCTTTTAGCCATGGCTGAAGCTGAAGCAGCTGGGATACAGGGCACCATGTCCCAGGGTTTTACATCTCAGGGGTGCCTGGGCCTGGACCACAAAACCATTATTCCCTCCTAGGCCTCCAGGCCTGTGAATGGAGGATCTGCTGTGAAGGTCTCTGACATGACCTGGAAGCATTTCGCCATTGTCTTAGCAATTAACATTCAGCTCCTCATTACTTATGCATATGTCTGCAGCTGGCTTGGATTTCTCCCCAGACAGTGGGGAGAATTTTCTTTTCAATTGCATCATCAGGCCATAAATTTTCCAAACTTTTATGCTGCTTTCTCTTGAACACTTCATGGCTTAGAAATTTCTTCCACCAGATACCTTAAATTATCTCTCTCAAGTTCAAAGTTTTACAGATCTATAGGGCAAGGGCAAAGTGTCGCCAGTCTCTTTGCTAAAGCATAACAAGAGTCACCTTTGCTCCAGTTCACAAGAATTTCCTCATCTCTATTTGAGACCACCTTAGCCTGGACTTTATTGTCCATATCACTATCAGCATTTTGGTCAAAACCATTCAACAAATCTCTAGGAAGATCCAAACTTTCCTACATCTTTCTATCTTCTCTCAGTCCTCCAAACTGTTCCAACCTCTGCCTGTTACCCAGTTCCCAAGTCACTTCCTTACATCTGGGTATCTTTACAGCAGCATTTCCCTACCTCAGTACCAATTTACTGTATTAGTCTGTTCTCAGGCTGCTATAAATGACTGCCTGACACTGGGTAATTTTTAAAGAAAAGAGGTTTAATTGACTCACAGTTTCTCATGGCTGGGGAAGCCTCAGGAAACTTACAATCGTGACAGAATAAGAAGCAAACACATTCTTCTTCAAATGGTGGCAGGAGAGAGAAGTGCAGAGCAAAGTGGGGAAAAACTCCTTATAGAATCACCAGATTTCATGAGAACTCACTCACTATCATGAGAACAGCTTGGGGAAACTGCCCCCATGATCTATTCACTTCTGATGATGTCCCTCTCCCAACCAATGTGGATTACAATTTGGATTACAATTCAAGATGAGATTTTGGGTGGGGACACAGCCAAACCATATCACATGGCATTCTAGAGGCAGGATTAATATGTGATACACATAAATTAATGCTGTCAAAGACATCCCAGAAAATAATAATTTAAGATGAGATTGGCACTTTCCTATCATTCTGATTTTTAAATCCCGCAATCATGGAAAATATTTATTTAAATATCTGATATTAAGACAGACTAGGTTATCCTCAGTAACACACAATTTTGTGTCACTAATTTCCCCTTCCTAAATGGATTTTTGAATTGCTCTTGATGATTGAGCTACCTTTTTTTCGTCTTTAAGTTCCCAATTTAAGTGTTAACCCTGTTGGGGCCTTTGCTGGTAAATCCTGCCCAATTCAGCTCCTCCTTTTCAGAATTCATATAATATTATATGTCATATTTATATTTTTAGTACCTCACAGGTTAAACTGTTCTTAGTTATTTCCTGTGTGTTTGTAATATTTCTCCAGTTATCCAAGGGCATGAACCATGTTTTCCCCTAACAACTGGTATGGATACAGATATTATATAAGTGCAGAATAAGTCCAGTTACTATATTCGTATATTGTGTAAAAGAGTACTTACCACATTCTATACACTTTTCTAAATCTTGAAGGTCAAAGATAAAACATTCATCAGTGCTTGGCATAGACAAGTAGCTTAGTAAATGTTATTTAAATAAATGAATGACTACATGTATGTTTTAAGAACCCAAAGTGAGGGAATCTAAGTAATTATAAAATACAAACAAACTAGCCCTGGTAGAACTACATGATAGGCAGAAGCAGAGAATTCTTTATTGTAACAGAAGTTGGGTGCATAACTCTGGATGTGGTCATGCTAGTGGCCTGCTCTGGCTCTTGATCTCTTTTGGGTAATTGTAATTAATTAAAGGGGAAATTGGGCTCCATTGTTCATCATCATTGGTAGAATCCCTAAAACCCTGTTCTCAGGACAAAGGGCAAACTCTTTAGTCTAGAATGGGAGACCATTTACATTTGGCTTCAAACCCCTCTAATATCACTCACTATTTTATCCATACATGACTTCTTTTCTACAGTTGGAAGGCTATTCATTCTTATAAAATAATCCTGGTTTTTATTATCCTTGTCCTATTGCTTACGTTATTTTTTTTCACCTGGAATGCCATCATCTTTCTCTGTGTAATTAAATACTTCCAGTTTTTATAGGTCTATATAACCCCCAGTTCTCTGTTAAGTCTCCACTATCTCAAAATTTAGTAACGGTGTATTTAAGCAGGACTCTAGCCAAAACCATGCTCATAAAACCTTACAAAATGTTACAACATGCAGTGAGCCTCTCTATTTTCTACATAATAAAAAGATATACTAATGGCTTGCTTGAATAGTCATTATGACATCTAAATTAGATAATATATGTGTTATAGGTAGAATTTGAAAATGGCCCCCAAAATCCCTACCTCTGATGTACACACAACTTTTCCCAGTTATTTTATGAAACACAAATCTATGTTCTTAACCATCACATTCTAATGGCCAACACCAACAACGACACCATTTTACAGCCTCAATGTTGTTTCCAACTTCCATTTGCATAGCCACAATACATTTGGAATGATTATAGACCACGTTAATGAATTTATTATTTTTTGTTTTTTTTCAATAAATGCAATTTGTTAAATGTCTAACAGCTATCAAGAATCCTTGACCAATTCTCCATTTACGGTACTTAAAGAGCTTCCTAATACTCATCATACAGTGAATATATCAGGTTGGTGCAAAAGTAACTGCATTTTTTTACCATTACTTTTAATTACCACAATTACTTTGCACCAACCTAATACTTTTAAAAAACATATTCATGAAAATAAAACCCTTTTTTCTCTTTAAAATAACCCTTCTAAAATCTGTATAACTCTTCCAAGAGAGCAAATTATGTGTATTGCCTAAAGAGAAGAAAAATATGTTTTCAACTTTAGTGTGGAAAATTATTTTTGTACAAAATTTATCCTCACCTCATCTGTAATGTTTCCATGAGATAATAGAGTCACATAGTTTCTAGTAAGCGGAAGAGATCAAAGGTTGTGAAGGAATATCGTTCTCGTATATACTTTGCATAGTATAAGAGAATCACCATTGAATGTTCCAATGGGGTAGCCATAAAAGGATTCACATCCTTGTCACATAAGTTCAGTCACACTTTGAGAACTTGGCTATGAGCTCTTAGCCTCTGCCTTTTTGTAGGAGTGAGTACAGTGGCTTGGGGTCCTGGATTGTCACACATTTTAAAGAATACTGTGTTGTTGGGACTGTCTTGGAAAACCAAAAACTAGACAGGAGAAAATCTTTGATTGGTATTCTCTTAGTTCTTGAAAGTCGCATATCTTTGCAGTTAAAGGGTTCAAAGTATGATACTGAAGAAAAGCCACCCCACATTTTGGCAAGGTTCTAAAACATTGCCTAAAGATTTTTCATTAATGTTTTTGTAAAACAACTAAAGAAAAGAAAAATGACTTTTTATGTACATGAATATTTTTGATTTAGAAAATAAAATAACTATGTATATATATATTAGAAGACCAGTGATACTTTTTATTGAAATTGGTGTGATCTATATCACTAATGGCATACTCGTATTCTAAGTGCTAGGCCTATGAAAATTATCTTATATGAGCAATAACATATTGTGATTCTTTTTAATTTTGTTTCCTAAATTACTTGCTTCTTCCTATCTTAGAATATTTGATGGCTGCTTAAACAATAATTGATTAGTCACTGGTGTTCTCTACAATGAACTCAAACAAATTTACAAGAAAAAAACAAACAACCCCATCAAAAAGTGGGCAAAGGACATGAACAGACACTTCTCAAAAGAAGACATTTATGCAGCCAAAAAACACATGAAGAAATGCTCATCATCACTGGCCATCAGAGAAATGCAAATCAAAACCACTATGAGATATCATCTCACACCAGTTAGAATGGCAATCATTAAAAAGTCAGGAAACAACAGGTGCTGGAGAGGATGTGGAGAAATAGGAACACTTTTACACTGTTGGTGGGATTGTAAACTAGTTCAACCATTGTGGAAGTCAGTGTGGCCATTCCTCAGGGATCTAGAACTAGAAATACCATTTGACCCAGCCATCCCATTACTGGGTATATACCCAAAGGACTATAAATCATGCTGCTATAAAGACACATGCACACGTATGTTTATTGCGGCACTATTCACAATAGCAAAGACTTGGAACCAACCCAAATGTCCAACAATGATAGACTGGATTAAGAAAATGTGGCACATATACACCATGGAATACTATGCAGCCATAAAAAATGATGAGTTCATGTCCTTTGTAGGGACATGGATGAAATTGGAAACCATCATTCTCAGTAAACTATCGCAAGAACAAAAAACCAAACACTGCATATTCTCACTCATAGGTGGGAATTGAACAATGAGATCACATGGACACAGGAAGGGGAATATCACACTCTGGGGACTGTGGTGGGGTCGGGGGAGGGGGGAGGGATAGCATTGGGAGATATACCTAATGCTAGATGACACGTTAGTGGGTGCAGCGCACCAGCATGGCACATGTATACATATGTAACTAACCTGCACAATGTGCACATGTTCCCTAAAACTTAGAGTATAAAAAAAAAAAAAAAAAAAACATTAAAAAAAAAAAAAAAAAAAAAAGAATCTGACAGTAGCCTTGGAAAATCTGGGTGGGTTAACTACCGACAGATGATAGCAATTAAGAGTGATTCTACTCTAGTTAACTATTTGACCCACTGAATGATGAGAAAACCAGTGAGAGAATCAATTGTGTATTTCAGCATTGGCTTGAAACAAAATTGTATTAGAATACTAAAATGCATTAGCTTTTAATGATTATGACAGAAATAAATCTAATTGACAAATAATATTAAAATTGAGTAATAGAAAATGTTACGCATTTTTGTTAATATTTATTTAGGATATAAATTATATGAAATATATTTAATTTCTAAAAATAAGTAAATTTAACTGGATTTCAATTAATAGTTTAAGTGTTAATTGATGTAAATTTAATATTCATCTAGCTATACCTGGAGTTTTAAAATAAAACAGCAGATGAATTTTTTGTCCTTATGAAAATAGACTAGATCAATTTAGAAGTGAAGAGTATTATAAATATACAAATACTTTAAATCAATTATTTAAAACAAAATGAGAATGTCCCATTAATTTATCTTCATAGATTTAGGAATCAAAAGAAATATAAACAAAGTGAAAATTACTGGCACCCCATTACCCAAAATAAATTGCTATTAATATTTTGCATATATTTATCAATAGTTTTCTATATCACCACCTATATTCACATACTTATATCTTAGACATAGGAAAAAATGCTGTCTTTTTACCTTACTTTTCTCACAGTGTTATATAGGGAATTATTTTTATTATAAATCTCTTTCCACATCTAAAAGCTATCTATGGTAAAATGTTGGGGTTCCTGTACATATTGGTATACATCATCAAAACAATGTATTAATTTGCTATTATAAAAGTAATATATGCCTGAAGATAAAAAATCAAATAATTATAAAAGTAGTAAAATGTAAATGTACCTATCTTGGTCACTAGCAATCACATTCAACAGAGATAACTGTTATTACCAGATTTATTGTAGGCTTTCAGGTATTTTCTGTAAATATAAAGACCATGAACATTTAAAATATATATTTTGTACATTGTGTTATGCTATATATGCCAGTCAGTAACATTTTTACAAAAAAATGAACAGTTATTATAAATCTATATCAGAATACAATCTGTTATTTTTGTAGTAACTCTAAACTTTTCAGAATTATGAATGTATCATTATCCATTTCTCCAATATACCCTTATTCGGAACTTAGGTTATTTCTGATTTGTTCCTATTATAGACAATTATGCACTGGAATCCTTGTATCTACACCTTTGCATACTTGTTCAATTATGTCTAATTTCCATAAATGGAATAAGTAATTCAAAGGATGTGCATTTTTTCACTTTTGATTATTATTTCCAGATTGCCCTTTGGAATAACCATGTAAGAAAGAAGGGTTTTCTCACAAACTCACTAAAAACTGTTTCATTTTAAGTTTTGCCAACTTTCTAAAAGCCAACATTATCTTGTTGCCATTTCAAAGTTTTTATTTTATAACTAGGAAGACATAGCAGTGGCCTTGAAAAATACAAAGTTGGTATGAATAAATGAATTTGTGCATTTGTATATCTGCAGGTCTTCCAAGTCTTACTCTGTATATTTGGAAAGAGTCTAGGCAAAAAGATATCACTTACTTTTCTTGTTCTATTGATTGTACGAATTCCCTGAACAAATATGTTTGAATAGACAGCATATGCTAGTATTTAGAGAAATACTAGTAAACCTGAGAGACATGACATTCCCTCTCCAACTTGCATGGAATTTTTAGCTTAGTTCATGGTTCAAAACTTATGCTCGTTAAAAAAATTACTTGAGGGGATTGTTTCAAATAGGATTTTCTGAAATTATTCCCAGCACGTCTAATTCATGTACACTGGTTTGTGAAGCAGAAATCTGTAATTTAGTATGCAACTTAGATGACTGTGATATAGGTAGGCTGAAAACCTGTATCGTATAATTCAATAAGCAATGTCAGTCTTGAGGAAATGCATCATTTTTGCCTAAGACTAAGGACATGACCTATTACATCTACCACAGGAATACTAGCTGTATTTCTATTCTGTTCAACATCTAATACTAAACAAAATTGTCAATAAATGGCATAAAAGAGCTCATAATAAATTTGCTCATATTCTATAGGACTACAGTTTCTATTAACATCATGACCTTGACACAAAATCTTATCCCATCTCCTTAATATTCCTTAATAAAGTTCTCATATTTTGATTTGAAAAACCTAAAAATGAATATATTATTTATATATCATCAGAAGAATCTCCGTTACCTGGAATATATTACAGCTAATATGAAATACTTGGAGATTCTGAAGAACTTTCTGGTCCGAATCAGGCACGTGTTTCCCCTGGCCATAGTGATTTGCAGGTGCAATCAAGACCACAGTTACAAACTAGAATTTCTTTGACTAGATCTCAGCTTTCTCATAGGGATCTATCTGTGATAACTACTTCCCAGAGTCCCCAAATCACACTTCCCTTGTTCTGTTGAGCATACTCCCATCAATTGCCATGTGGTATCTAACATATTCCACTTCTCTCCCTCCATGTTGGGATATTTCCTCTTAGGCTCATAATCTTGAAAAGGATTATGACAACCTATCGTTGCCAGTGCCAGTGATGCTGAGTCTGCTAATTCTATATGTGCCTAGTTTAGTTTTTTTTTTTTTCATGTTTCATATCATAATCCCTTTCTTTGGAATTCAGGCATCAACAATTAGGGTAACTGTGAACACGTTCTATTAAAAATTGTCTGTCCATTCTGGTTGTTGAAATTAGTACTTGGAATTCCTTCCTTCCTTAGTGTTCCTTCTCACTATACCACAGCAGATACTCTGATTATATATGCAAATTAGCTGTTATTGTATGACTATCCAGAATATCTGCATGTTTACTGATATATATACATATATATATACATATATATATATACATATATATATATACATATATATATATACATATATATATATACGTATATATATATACATATATATATATACATATATATATGTCCCAAGTGACAGATTTGCCCAAGCTATGACCCTGCCGCATGCATCTTACCTCATATCTTACCATTACCCCAGAAAAACCATCTGTTCTAGCCAGAGTCAACTAACATTTTCCCAAGTTTAAGAATGTAATTAACTCTCTCAAACCTCCAAACATCTGGACTTTTTTTTTCTTTTTCTAGACCATGGGTTTTCTATTTCCCTCATCCAAATTACTACTTAACTTTCTTGACTAAATTAAAATACCATCTTCTCTATGAAGTGTTTTTGGTTTCTTCTCTGTCTGGGGCTTCCACCAAGACTAGTGCAGGTATGTCCTAAAATCTGGCCCACATTTCTTTTGCTACACAAGCACTGAACCTTATGAGTGGTGGGATATGATCTCAGAAAAGATTTTTTTCTCTTTTGCATAAGTGAGCTACCTACTTTAAAGCTTATTACAGAAGGGAGTACTGTCTCACTGAAAGTTGATGTCCTCATAGGATACCAACAGGCCTCTATAACTCCATTTCTTTTTTAACCACCTCTGCCAGGCATCATGAAGAGATGAGAAAAACATAGATTTATACTGTATGGGATCATTTCCAAAGAATACTGTTATAAATATAATTTCTTGAGAAATTAAAGGAATTAAAATCACATGGACTAGGTTTAATGTATACAGTGAGGATGTTTTGGTGTACAATAAATCTGAGATAGCTTGATGGGACAGCAAAAGATAGCCTCAAGAATATTCAGTAATACAAATTAACTCCTTGTCCTGTCTAAACAATCATTAAACTCCTACTACTGTTGATTGTATATTGGGGGAACCAACTGTGAAAGATAATCCTCTGACTAGCTAATGGAATAATTTGAAGAAGAATGAACTAGTTAGAAGTAGGTTTGCTTCTGCTGAGCCGCAGTGAAAGGATTAGCCTTTTCTTGTGGGTGGGCATTCTGAGGGTGTTCATGTGATCCTTTAAGATACATCTCTATCTCCAAGACTATTTCCTATGAGAACAGTCCAGGCTCCTAAAACGTAGCATTCAGCAGCTGAGTCATGAATGAAGATGAATAGTTAACACCATATTAATCACCAATTATACTCATCCTGAGAGGAAAATCTCAGATTTTTGAGGATGTGTGACATTGAAAAGGAGACTTGGGAGATGGAATGATGAGCCAATTTCATATTTCTATGTAATTTTATAATACAAACGAAGGAGGATTGTTTTCTCTTTTAAAATACTTAATCCGTTGAGTGTTCAATTTCATTGAATGATGTAGGTTGTTAAAGAGTTTCTCAAGCTAATCTGCAAGTCTTTCTGCAACCCTGGTTAATTTTTCCATCTTTTTCTGTTGAAGTTTAAGATTCTTGAGGATAATGACCATGACTTTCCATTTTTTCCCCCAATTCTCTACTTACCACTTGATACGTCATAGATTCTCAGAAAATGTTCTTAAATAAAGTGGCAGATAAGGACAATAAACTGTACTCATGGCACTGAGGAAGAAATCTACAGAATACATTCTCATTTCTTCAGCTGGCTTTTGTCATTGCCTACTATATTTTCTGATATGCAAAGTATATGCCCAGGGCATAAGATGTTAACTAGCTTGAAATAC
Source organism: Homo sapiens (assembly GCF_000001405.40). Lineage (NCBI taxonomy): Eukaryota > Metazoa > Chordata > Mammalia > Primates > Hominidae > Homo > Homo sapiens. Next base: position 51,934,388 of record NC_000002.12, on the reverse strand, counting down.
TTAAAATATTGCTTGCTTGTTAGGAAAAAAGTAAAAGACAAAAGAAAATAGAGTATACTACCTAGATTACTTTATACTGCTGCACACCACTATAAACATAGGAAGTAAAAGCAACATACATGTATTATCTTACAGTCTCCATGAATTAGGAATTTAGACATATCTTAGTTGGAAACAACTTTCTGTCTCAGAACTCTCAAGGCTGTAATCAATATTTTAGCTAGCTGGGGATACAATTTTCATCTGAGGCCCTGCGTCCTTGTTCAGGTTCATTTAGTTCCTTGTGGTTGTATGACTGAGGTCCTTGTTTTATTACTAGCCCTCAGCTGGAGACTTCATTCAGAAACTAGAGGCCACCTCTCTGTGTAGGTTGTTTGCAATATGACTGTTTGCTTTTCTCTTCTGAGTTTAGCTGGACAAACAAACAGAAACAAAAACAACCCATCTGCTTAAAAGGCTTATGTGATTATGTCAGAATCACCCTTTTTATTGATTCCCAAATCAACTGATTTGTTACATTGATGACATCTGCAACTATATAATCCTGATAGTGATAACACAGCATTTTCACAGGTTCTGTCCACATTTCACGAGAGGGGAGTATAAAAGGGTGAGGGCGATTGGTGGCCATTTTAAAATTCTACCCATCATACTGTTTTTCTATTGTACATTGATCACATTATTTTTTTTTAATCTATAGCAATATTTTCCTTGCCACGTTATCCTAGTATTCTCATCCAGGTGACAAAGTGAAAACCTGCCTATCAAAAATAAAATCAAAATTGAAAATAGGAGACAAAATATTGATTTTTTACAAATCACTTTTTTCTCAGATATTTAATCTCCCTTCGTATAATAACTGATATTGTTTATTCTATGTTTCTTTCAATTCTTCTTTTTGAAAATTGATGGAGAAAACCCAAGCAAAATTCGTTGCTAACCTGAAAAATTATTTCCTAATTCTTCTGTGTAATACACTCACTATTTTTTAAAACTATAATTGAATTAATAAACATTTCAGATTTGGCATATGAGACAAAAGTCAAGATATATTTTAAATACAGTCATGCATCACTTAATGCATGCAGCAATATTTTGAGAATGCATCATTAGACAATTCTGTCATTGTGCAAACATCATAGAATTGACTTATACAAACCTAGATGGTGTAGCCTACTACACATCTACGCTGTATGGTGCAGCCCATTGCTCCTAGGCTGCAAACCTGCGCAACAACTTACGTATTGAATACTATAGGAAATTGTAACACAATAGTAAGCATTTGTGTATCTAAACATATTTAAACATAAAAAGGGCACAGTGAAACTATGATGTTATAATCTTGAGACCACCAGTGTATATGTGGTCCATTATTGACTGAAACATCATTATGTGGTACATAACTTTGCATGTATGTTTCACAAACTCATCTAAGATACATAAATCTGTCTTGCTTTAATGAATTTGGAAAGAAAAGCTTTATTTTCTAATTAAGAAATGACAAAACCAGTAGAGTAATATCCCTTTGGGCCCTATTACTGAAGCATTAACAGACCTTTAAACAGACACTTTCTCCAAGTTATGCCACAGTTCTTACAGAGGTCTATTTTCTTGTGCTTTTTTACTACATAACACTTCAAGCACCATTGTCATTAAATAATTTGTCAAGTCACATCACTTTTAAAATATGAAGAAGATTTTTTTAGTTTTTAGTTTTATTTTTGAGTTATTTACTCACTTGTTCACTTATTAAATATTCATGGAATGTATACTACTTGTTAGACTTTGGTAAACACTGAGTTTACTACTGAAAAAGGAAAAAAGATATTATATCTTCCTTCATAGAGTTTACAGTTGGGTGAGTTCGGTACCAGACATTAAACAGATAAATAGTTGCATCACAGATTATTTATTTAGAATTAGATGGAGATTTGTGAATGATATGTACAGAATAATATGAGAGTATATCAAGGAAATTTTATCTAGACATAGAGGATAAAGGAAACCCTCAACAAGTGAAATTTAAGCTGAGACCTGAAGAATGAATATAAATTATAGCGGTAGGAAGGTTAAAGTCGGGTAAGCAGTGCACAGAAATTGCTATAAAGCTTCTGGGGTTTGAAAGAACTTGAAATACTAAAAAAAAGAAAAGAAGCCCGGGAGCGACAGCTCACGCCTGTAATCCCCGCACTTTGGGAGGCTGAGACGGGCAGACCATGAGGTAAGGAGATCGAAATAATCCTGGCTAACACGGTGAAACCCCATCTCTACTAAAGATACAAAAAAATTAGCCGGGCGTGGTGGCGGGTGCCTGTAGTCCCAGCTACTTGGGAGGCTGAGGTCGGAGAATGGCATGAACCGGGGAGGCGGAGCTTGCAGTGAGCCTAGATCATGCCACTGCACTCCAGCCTGGGCGACAGAGTGAGACGCAGTCTCAAAAAAAAAAAAAAAAAAAGAAAGAAAGAAAGAAAGAAAGAAAAAAGAAAAAATCAGAGTACGCAGAACTTTAAGAACAAGGAGAATGTTCTTAAATGAGTAGCAGATGCCAGGCATTACATGACTACAGAGTCACGTGAAAGATCCCAGTGTTTGTGCTCATTAAAATAAGAAACAATTAAATGTTTCAATGGTCAGTGTATTAATAGTCTGAATTCCTTAGAGCCTGAAATAATCTTATTTACCAATTTTTTGGGGAGAGTATAATCTAAAAGAAGCAAGAGGGAAGGAAAATCATAAGTAAGGAAGGAAAATAGATAAAGCCAATTTAAAGTGTCTGTAAGTGAGCTGGCTCTGGTTATATAATAAAACACTTCTACTTCCCTGGTCACTTAAGACTTTCCCAAGAAGTCACTGAGTCTGCAGTACTCTCTGGAATAAGAGTAGGAATCAATTTATCTACTGGATCTGAGTGAACTCCTGTCTCTCATTTGTTAACATTTGTTCCACATGTCAGTGACTCTCATCTTCCTGGTCTCTCCAGGAAGCCTCTGAGAAATAGAAAACTTTCATGATTTTTTTAATCATGTCACTTTCTTGCTTTCTTGTAGTCCAAACAATTTTTTTTTCTTTTTCATGTTTCTTTTCTATTAGGATATTAGGTCTATCTTTTCCACTATTTTTCATAGTATGCGCTTTTTTAATTTGCACATGTAGATCTTCAACTTTTGTGGCATAAACAATTTCAGGAGTCAATAAGAATTTTAGAAATACAGAACTAGAACTTAAAGGACAGACCAGAATTGAAAAGGCAGATTCACAAAACTATTATATCGTAACATCCCAATTTCAGGAATGTAAAAACCAAGATACATAGAAGTCAGTGTGTTCAAGGTCACACAATCATCGAGACAGTAAACCCAAGAATGCCTGATCTTAGAATCTAAAACTCAATCGTTATGGCCATTAAGCTTTGCTGACAAAGATTTAAGTATCATCTGAACGACTGAATACACTGTTATTGCTCTTATCTGTTCTTAACATTAAAAACATTTTAAAAATGTCTACAATCTTTGTCACCATTATGTCTCTCCTGTACTATTGCAGTAAGCTCCTAAAAGGTCTTTCTGCTTCTGATTTTACTTTCTACACTCTACAGTCTGTTCTCAATGCTGCAGCAAGAGTGAACCTTTAAAAATATGTCAGGTAGGTCATGTAACTACTGTGTTCAAATCCACGCATTTCCTACAGGTAATGGCCAAATTTTTTACAATGGCTTATTGGACCCTACATGATGTGAACTTTCATAATTTCTCTGGATTCTTTTCCCACTACTCTCCATTAGCTTACTCACTCCAGCCATACTGGCTTCCTTGCTAATGCTCCAAGGAGCTAAATGCCTCCCCCCATCACCTTGCATTGTGGCATAAATACCTGCATTTCTAATTGTCTCAACTTCTCCATGTATTTTCTAAAGCAACGCATTTTCTCAAGAAAAATATTTTCTCATTTTGCCAATAAAGCATACTCTCATTTTATTAGGCTGGTGCAAAATTAATTGTGGTTCTTGTCATTGAAAGCAATGACAAAAACCGCAATTGCATTTGCATCAACCTAATCAATTGTACATATTCTTTACCCTATAGCAGTTCTTGCATAGAATTTATCATCTCTTTATATAATATACAAGTTACATATATATGTTTCTTTACATACTATATATACATACTATACAATTATGTGTATTATACATATATAATTTATATTATTTGTTAGTTTTATAGTTTATTCTTTGTTATTCCTTCCTAAAACATAAACTCCATAAAAGCAACTACTACATTTTCAACACTTATTTGTTATTGAATAAATTATAACTCAAGGAAATCCTTGAGAAGCAATTTGAAACACGAGTAGGCAGGCTTAAGAGTTATAAGAATATTTCAGTAGAGAACAAATATATCACTATTCTCTGATACTTAGACAAAGTCACTGACTTCTATGGGACTAAGTTTTCTCTGAAAAATAAGAGGAACTAATTTGAGCATCTCCAAATGGAATTTTAGCTCTGAAATATGAAAAATGAATGAAAGGGTAGAGTAAACATCTATTTTTTTTATTAAGCCCATAATATTAGAGGGGACCTCCTAGAATTTAAAGCAGTGGTTTTGTAACTCTATAGAGTAACCACGTATTTTTCACTGTAGGTAGTAAACACATGGAACTTATATTCACAAGACCTGTTCTGACTCAAAATTCCAACAGATTGAGAGTTTTAAATAATCATTTCCGCTTTTGATCTTTTGAATCACCATTCTAAATGGCAACTTTTCTGCCCCACATTCTGCTAGTGATATTATTAGAAAAGCTAAATCCTGATCTAACCCAGTGAGGCAGTTTCTTATGCACCATTTCATATTTGTGGCCTGGGAAGCAAAATGTCCATTTACACATGTGGACTTGAATCTTCAAAAAACCAGAAGTAGGTGAGATTATTCTAATGCTTTAACTTAATGGCTCATCTTGTAATGACTTTACTTTCATTAGTCTATTTTCTGAATTGAGTTTAAGGACTGTTGATTTAGGAATTCATTGTCATTTGTGACAGGGTAAATGGCTTTATGCTATGAATTCTGCCGCAAGTCAATTTATTAGCTGTGACATAATTCTAGGAAAAAAAGATTGCAAAAACATTAGGATACAGTAAAAGATGAGTTGCTATAAAACTCTAGCTATAACATTAATTTATATTCTTGACAATGTCAATTTGTACTCGAAAATACTAAATTTTACCTTTATTATGCACATCTGAAAAAATGAGAATTGTATTGACAAAACGGATGTTATCATTTGAAAAAATTATAAAGCTAACCTGTTCTAAGCTCTACTACGTATTGCTATTTGACCTTAACCATACAGCCTAGTCTGTGTACCCCTGATTTCATGTGAAAACAAACACACTTAACTAATACAAAGAAACTGAAGTATAACAAAGGACTCATATGAATATATGCAACTTTCTAAGATCCTTGGAAGAAAAATAACAAAGTGATTATAGGAAATTTTCTTTAGCGGAAGTCAAATTTGAAAACATTTTAGAAGGCTGTTCATAGGTCTGTGTTGTACAATATATGCTAAAAAAGAGATTTGTCAATAAATACTAATAATGCATATAATTACCTTGGAAATACTTAAGCTTCTCAACTTTCCAAGAAAAATCTTGAACGCTTGTTCAAACAGTTTTATAATGATGTGACCAATAAACAAAATTTAACATCTAATTATTATAGTTTGATGTTAACACTTCTTTCATAGAGAAATAAAAAAATTATAAAACACTTAACACATATAGAATTTCATTAAGACTAGTTATGAATCCTTTGTTATAATGCAAGCTGAGATATCTTAGACCAGATAGTTTTAGAATAAGCATACTAAAGATTGCTGGTATTGGTTTGAAATACTAGTGAAGTTAGTAGTGGTGATCTCTGGTGATGACTACTTATCTAAATACAAAAGCCCAGCAAACCTTGAATCTAGAACAGGGATCTAATAATGTTTTCTTGAAAGGTAAGAAACATATTTCAGGCTTTGTAGACCATAAGTTCTCTGTCAAGATTTTTTAACTCTGCCCTTGTAGTGCCAAAGCAGACATATTTAAACAAATGGGTGTGGATATATGCCAACAAAATTTTACTTAGAAATACAGACAGCTGGTGTGTGGGCTATAGTTTGCAAAACCTTGGTCTAAAGGTTTGGAAGCATAAAGAAAAAAGAGGTTTAGCTGAAAGTTAATCATATCTTTAAAACAATTGGTTTGGACCAGGTAATATTTCCATTTAATTTCTAAATTCCTAAAGTCCTTAACTCTATTCTCAAGTTCTGCCAATTCAAAAGAACTATTTAACATCTTAGTTACAAGGTTGTTTTAAACATCATATTTTTTTACTATATTTATTCATTAAAACATGTCTTCTCATTGATTCTTTAAAATGGAGTCATAATTCTTCCTCCTAATTGAATTGACATTGAGAAATGTAGAATATAATAAAAAGGGATTGAAGTGTTAAGGGAGAGTTCGCTAGCCATTTGTTTTTTTGTAATGTTCTTCATGAACAAGGTGCAAAATGTAACTTTAAAAATAGCCCTTTGTGGTTGGGCATGGTGGCTCACACCTGTAATCCCAGCACTTTGGGAGGCCGAGGCGGGTGGTCACTTGAGGTCAGAGGTTCAAGACTAGCCTGCCAACATAGGGAGACCATGTCTCTACTAAAAATACAAAAATTAGCCGGCCGTGGTGGCATGTGCCTATAATTCCAGCTACTTGGGAGGCTGAGGCAGGAGAATCGCTTGAACCTGGGAGGTAGAGGTTGAGGTGAGCCAGGATCATGCCACTGCACTCCAGCCTGGGTGACTGAGCAAGACTCCGTCTCAAAAAAATAAATAAATAAAATAAAATAAATAAATAAATAAAAAATAATAGCACTTTGTTTGTCTACTCTCCTTGGGCCTGGGTAATACAGGATGAGAGAAAACGAGGGGTGTGTGGGCAAGATGGCGATGGTGGAAGGAAGGCAGCAAAAGGCAGCAGAAGGCGGCTGTGGACCTGGACTGGCTAGAAGACACTCTGTGGCAAAAGAACAGCTGAAGGCCCTAGAGAAAACCAGGTACAGAGACAAGGAAAATGGGGAGCCAAAGACCAAGCAGCTCAGAGAAGAGGAGGAGGAAAGCAAGAAGCTCAGGGAATTCAGGCTGCAGAACCATGTCCCAGAGGATGAGGACCTGAAAAGGAGGAGGGTTTCCAGGCCAAACCAGTTGCAGTGGAGGAGAAGATGAAGGAGAAGCTGTAGGCAGCCAAGGCACAGCCTGTCATTGAGGAGACGGACCTGGCCAACCTTGTACTCTAGAAGCCTGATTGGGACCTAAGAGAGATGCGGGCAAGAACCTGGAGAAACTAAACAAAAAGACTTGGAGGGCCATTGCCGAGCTGATCCGTGGGAGGCTAAAAGGCCCAAATGACAGCCTAGTCTCTACAGGGGAAGCCACCACTGAACAAGAGGCCTGTGACAACTGAAGTGTGCCCTGTCTCTGTCTTGCTCCCATTAGGAATGTCCTGTAGGTGGATGGTCTTGGGCAGAGATGGGGGCTGGGTTGCTGTCACCTCCAGTTTGGCTTCTGAGCAGTGACTCCCTGCTCCCTAATGTCTGAAATTTCCAGTGAAGTCACCTTCTTGTCTCCTGCGTGGTCTCTGCTGTTCTTGGGGAGGGGCAGTGAGGAGAGCCAGCAACAACTCTCTGAATGTGCCTTTGTCTGTACATATGTATTTGAACTTTTTTTAATCTCTAGAAATAAACACAAGTAAACTCCCCCATCTGGCAGAAATCTGTGAAATATTTCCTAGGTCAAGCAGTGCTGTGGGTTTGGGCTCCAAGACAGGGTGGCTTCAGAGGTGGTGCTTACTACGAATAATCCCTGTTTAGGGCTTGCCATGTTGAAGCTGGAGGGGTGGGGAAGACACAGGGCTGACCTTCTGGGTCCAAGTTCTGGTCCAGTCCATGGTCAGTGGTGGTCATCTCAAAACCCTTGGGTGATAGAGACAGGGTATGAGAGTTCTTTTAAGACTTCCCCCAGGTCTAGGCTTTTCAGTAGTCTGAAGGACAGCTGAAGAGGCTCCCATCCTGGTTCTGTGTGGAGTCGTACACAGTATAAGAAAAAGAAGGAACACTGGGCCTTGCCAAGCCCCAATTTGAGGCCACTTAAGATTTGAGGCCCCTGGCACTGCTTTTCCTCACTCTGCCTAGCCCCAGGCAGCCCCTCCCTCTATTGCACCAGTCAGAGCTTCATTGAGCACTGAGCAGTGAGACAAGGCTGGGACTCTGACTCCTACAATGGACTGGAAGCAAACATGCCCAGAGTTGTCAGGACTGGAGCCAGGCTCCCTCTGCACAGTTGGCAGGACTGGAGCTGGGCTTCCTTTCCTAGGAATAAAGGATGAAAAGGCTCTTTGCATCTCCTGAGATTGCTGCTAGAGGCAGAATGTTTGTCTGTGGCATTGGATGAACTTATTCATCTTAGTTTTCAAATAATTCTCACTGATAGGGTTTCAAGAAAAATGAGTAGCTTAGGACCTACTCAATGACCCAGGATTAATGAAGGCCCTGGAAGGTCATTTCCAAACATGACCTGGGCCAGTCTATGCTGTGCTTCCTAACCACCAATGAATACAAGGAGCATAGCACCTACTCCTCCCACCAGTGCAACTAGGACCCTGACCCTATGTAGGAGGATGGCATTGTGGGAAATGAGCAACAAAAGAACAAAAGAAGAGGGCAATAAATTATGAGTCAAGAGCTTCAAATTATAAAAGGAAAAATGGAAAACTTTCCAGACAGGAAGGAATACAGCATCAAGAACAAAGGACATAAAAAATAACCTGGTAGAATCAGACTTGCAAAGACTTCAGACATCAGAATTATCAGTCATATATTTTAAATATTTTAAAATGATTTAAGAACTAAGATGTGGAAATAGAAGCAGATTTACAAAAGAACCAAAGTGATGTTCTGGAAATGTAAAATGCAGAGTCTCCCCTCATCCACAGTTTCACTTTCTGTGGTTTCAGTTACCTGCAGTCAACTGCAGTCTGAAAATATTATATACAATATGATATTTTGAGAGAGAGACCACATTCAAATAACTCTTATTTTGGTATATGTTAATAATTGTTTCATTTTATCAGTAGTCATTATTGTTTATTACTTTGCCTAATTTATAAATTAAACTTTATCATAGTTCTGTATGCATGGGAGAAAACATTTTATATGCAGGAGTTGCTACTACTCACAGTTTCAGGCATCCACTGGGGGTCTTGGAACATATCCCTCATGGATAAGGAGTGACTACAGTATTATAGCAATGAAAAGCCTTGTATATGTGAATTAGACAAAGCTGCAGAAACAATTGATAAATAGGAAACTAGGTCTGAAGAAGTTTTCCAAAATGCAGCCTAGCGAGATTAACAGATCAATAATATAAAGCAAGAGGCTGAGGGATATGGAGCATAGAATGAGAAGATTCAACATAACCCATGAGTGAAGTTCTAGGAGAAAAAAAAGAGAGTAAAAATGGAGCAGAGACAATATTAAAAGACAATGTCTGAGAATCTTCCAGAACTTTTGAAAATCAATCCACAGATTCAAGAAGGCAAGCAAATCTCAAGCAGGTTACTAAAAAGAAAGAAATATATATCCAGTTGTTCTGTTTCTTGATCTGGGTGGTGATCAATTAGATATTTTTACTTTATGAATATTTATTGAACTGTATACATATTGTATTAGTCCATTTTGTGTTGCCATAAAGGAATAGATGAGACTGGGTAATTTATAAAGAAAAGAGGTTTATTTGGCTTATGGTTCTTCACGCTGTACAAGGATAACACCAGCCTATGCTTGGCTTCTGGTTAGGTCTCAGGAAGCTTCTACTTATGGTGGAAGATGAAGGGGAAACAGGTGTATCACATGGAGAGAGAGGGAGAAAGAAAGAGTGAGCAGGAGGTCAGGCTCTTTTCAACAACTAGCTCTCAGATGAACTGAAAAAGTGAGAACTCACTTATCACCAAGGGGATGGTACCAAGACATTCACAAAGGATCTATCCCCATTACCCAAACACCTCCCACTAAGCCCAGCCTCCAACATTGGGGATTATATTTCCACACAAGATTTGGAGGGGACATATATCCAAACCATATCACATATTTTATGCACTCTTTTTATGTTTATTCTAGCTCAATAAGCAAACTTATTTAAACATTTTTACACCTTGCATTAATCAATTTCTATATACAAATTACCCAGAACTCAGAGGCTTAAAATAACACATACTTATTAATATCTTACAGTTGCTGTGGGACAGGAATCACTAGTTGCTTAGCTTAGTAGGTCTAGCTTGGGGTCACTTGTGAGATTGTAGTCATCTGAAGGCTGGACTGGGGCTGGAGTATCTGCTTCCGAGATGGCTCACACATATGTCTGTTTATTGGAGGCCTCTGTGCCTTGCCACATGGACCCCTCCACAGGGCTCGCTTGAGTGTGCTCATGACCTGACAGCTGTCTTTCCCAGAGTGGCAATCCAAGTGAGAAAGCAGAAAAGAACATTGGCCTGGTTTTGGAAGTAATATTTTGCCAAATTCTGTTGTTAGAATGAAGTCACTAGGTTCAGCCCACACTCAGAGGGAGAAGAATTAGGTTCCATTTCATGAAGAAAGGGCTGTCTAAGAATTTGTAGACTTATTTTAAAATTATCACATACCTAGTCACATTGTAATAAAATTGCAGAACACAAAGACCAAGAAAAGATCTTAAAATTAGAGAGAAAAGACACATCACCTTTGAAGGAGCAACACAGCAGCAGATGTCTCAGCTACAATCAGTGTTAACTGGAATGAAAGAAAATTGTCAACTTACAATTGCATACACAGGGAAAAATATCTTATAAGATGTTTTTGGACAAACAAAGCCAAGGATTCTGTCACCAGCAGACTCTTACTAAAAGAAAAGCTATTTTGGGATAATGAAAATGTTCTAAAAGTGACTGTGGTGGTGGTTGCACAAATCTGTGTATATGCTAAAAGCCACTGAATTGTATGCTTTAAGTGGGTGAATTGTATGGTATGTATAAAGCTTTTTTAAAAAATGAAATAAACATTCTCCCTTAGAAAATAATAAAACTTTTTTTCCAAAAGACCCTTTTTAAAAATAGTGACAAAGTTTCTATTTAAGAAATGTCTTCATTAATCTTACTAACAAAAGAACACTATCATATTACTTTTATACTACTATATATGTGTACATATACTGTACATATGAATATGCAGTTTATATTACTACTATACTAATATAGTTACTTTTTCAGTGACTGAATTTTTTTCAAAAGTTCTAAGTCATTACTAGAGACAAAAGCTCCTTAATACTTCAGGGAATTCCAAAATTTCCTGAAATATAACTAACGCCCAGACCTTGAATCTTAGTGAACAGCCTTACGGTACCTTAGCTACTGTTCACAGGACATGTCCTAACTAACATCAATACCAGCCTAAGAAGAAAGCACTTTTCACTGAGTGACAACAAGAGTTAAAGAACAGAACTGGTTTAATAGAATTTATTTAAGTGTATAGAGTTGGAAATTAAATATGTTCTATTAAAAACTATTTTGTATTATAAGTTCTTGATTTTATGATGAGACTTTCCTAGTATTTTTTTTTTTTTTTTTTTTGTATTTCTGAGGTAATCAGGATAAGGCTAGAATTTTGCCTTAGACACAAACATGCCTTTTTGGAAATTATTTAAGGGGGATATTGTACAGGTGATTGTGTCCCATAATTTCAATGTAATTAGAATCTCATTTTTCAATCTTTTTAAGATAAATATATTTAAAAATTGAAATTTGTATATTTATATAGATTATTTTATTTTATCCTAAAAAATTAACCAAATTACTATCCCTTGAATACTTAAATTCTATCATCTTATAGTAAATGTAGTAATAGTTTTACTATCTAGATTCAAGAATAGAAAATAAATATTTTTCACTAATTTTACTCACTATGGAATTATATATACTATATAGAAATCTGGAGTCTAATTATGTGTGGGAAACATCTAATAGTTGCATTGAATCTGATCATTTTTGATGAGTAACTTGCCATGTCAATAAAACAGTGCAGTCCTTGTTAATAACTCTCTGGAAAATAAAATTAATGATGCCTAAAAACATTAATACAAGTTTCCAGGGGAATTAACTTATTCCCTGTGAGTTACCTAGGCACTGCAAATATGGCAGATTCTTATAAAGCTGAGGCCTTAAGTCTGTAATGTCCACCAAGCCATCTTTGCTAGTTGAAGCAGCTCTTCCACCCCTGTCTGGGAAGGTTAGCGTTCCCCTCCTGAAAAACCTATAATGGTCTCTCCTAAAATATTAATACCTCTCTTGCAAGGCACTGCCTAATTCTCATCAGGACCTACTCTACAATCTCTCCTTGCTTCTAGGCCTGTATAACCAGACTCATCCCCTAGCAGGCCCAAAAGGGCAATATATAAAATGTGACCCATAAGGAGATGTAATAGCCAGCCAAATAATTGTTTTATTTTGCTGATTTACATGACAGAAATCTAGAGAATCATGTAGAAATACATCTTACAATCAAGGGATCAAATAGAAGAATATGAATTTGGATTATACCAAATTTGTTTGTATGGGTTTACTAAGCAAGGATTTTAGATACAGCATTTTAGAACAAATAGATAGGCATGGTCCTAACAATATGCTTTTTGGTTGACTGAAATATAGACCCAGAGTTGGCCTATATTAAGTAAAGATTAAATACCAAAATTTTCTTAGTGTACTACAAAGGAAACTATCCAAAAGCATATGGAGATTGAAATAATAGAGTGGATGTATTATGTAAGACCTGCTTACACATTGCATAGATTCTAGAAGACACTCTTTTAATCACAGCTGCAAGAAATAAATTTATAAGAGGAGCTCCATAATGTTAGAAGAGCTTTCTTTCTTTCTCCCCACCCAACCCCTGTTCTTTTTCTTCTTCTTCTTTCTTTCTGTATAGATCAGAATGACAGGGGGATTGATGGCATCAAACTGAGATCTGTAAGTTCAATGGAAATAATAGCATCCCAGGGAAGTAGGGACCAAGTGTTGTCAATCTTCCAAGAAAAGGTAGATGTAGTTACTGTAATGGAGTGTTTATTATAATAGGGAGTGGAGCAAAGTCATATTAGAATAGTATGACTTGCAGGTATCTTAGGCATTAGGTATCTGATCATATCTTTATGACTAAAGTAGATAGACAGCCTACTGAAGTCTTACTTGATTTATATAAGCAGAAGAGCTCTAGGGCTAGAGAACAGAAGTCTGACTTTAACTACCAAAATAGAAAGTCATAGGTCCTCCACAAAGTTAAGAACAGAGTCAGTTCACAGACCCTGAGCCCCTTGAATGAAGTTCAGTCACCTTGAGGAAATGTATACTGTTAATCTTCCCGAGGTGACTGTGCATTCAGAAGGGGAAGAATTCAGAAGTAGGGAGAGTAACCAAAGACGGTAACTAAACACTTTGACCCAAATATCTAGGGACAAAAATCTTCACTGTGGTCCCACAGGGTATAGATGGCACAGATAATCAGTGGAACTTTGGCTTCGTTTTGTTTCACTGTGTACATAGTGGTTGGACAAAATCGCCCTGTGGTTATTTCTTCAATTCCAGATTATACAATTTAAATAAACATATTCGGCAATGGCAGAATTCTCACACTATTTCTTTGACCCATGAAATGAGGATGATTACGGTAGGAGAAGCCAAATGCAAACCACTAAAAGTGCATTTATCAGTGAAGTAGATGAAAAGTAATGCTGCATCCCTGGAGCAAAATAGACTACCAGTAATGCTGCCTCCTACCATTAAGCATTTGGAAGATGCAGAGATGATGACTTTTACTATATCCCCTTTAACTAATCTTTTGGCCTTGGCAAAGAATAAATGGATCAAGGAAAAAAGTACAGAGTTATAAAAAATCAAATCGTTATTCCAATTGCAACTGTTATTCAAATTATAGTTTTCTTGGGGAAAAATCAACAAATTCTCTAGTATATGGCTATTGATCTGGCAAATGCTTTAGCTTTCTAGGTATTTGATAATGAAGAGCAAGTGGAGCAACTTGCTTTCAAAAGATAAGACCTGCAATATACATTCACAGTATTAATTAGGGGGAATATATCCTTTCCAGCTCTATGTCATGTGTACATAGCAGGGACTTGCCTTTCCCCTAAACAGGATATAATGCTGGCCCATGTTATTGATTATATCACACCAATGGACCAATTGAGAAGGAAGTTGAAATTTACTCAAGACAGACATATTGGGAAGACAATTACGGGCAAAGAGTAGGAGACAAAACCACCCAAAATTTGAGGGCCTGCTATCTCAGTGAAATTTTTAGGATTCAAATGACTTGAGAGTGTTTTTTCCTCTTTCATTTTTATTATCTATCATATAATAGTCACAACATTTAATAAAAATATTAAAGAAAACACTATATAGTTAAAAATTACTCTAAAAAGGAAATGAATTTAATATAGTTATGAAGAAAGATACCATCATGACTATTATTTCAAATTCCATATATCACATTTTAGTGATATGCTTAAGTTTAGCCAGACTTGAAAACAGAGTAACCAAAAGCTAACTTTTGAGAAGACGCAAAAGTGTATAAAGGTTTTTCTAAAATATCTGAATGTCATTACCTAATAAATTAGTCATCATAACTTCCAACTGAATGAAAATGTCTCTAATATGAATGCACTGTTGCAACATTTTAAATGAATCATACAATGAGAATGTTACACTGAGTGTAGCCAAATATGAATTCTATTATTAAATGTACTTTACTCTTTAAATTCATTGTAAAAAACATATGACAATTTAATAGCTTCTTTTCTTAGTTGAAACAATTAAGGATTTAAAAAAAGAACAAAAATTGGTATAGATGGCACATGATTATCTTACATCTTTTCCTAATCTACATAGCTTCTCAATAAGCTGTTGTAAAAACTACAGACAAGATACTAAATTGCATAAATTATATATGCAAAGCTATATGAGTTACAGGAAAGAAAGAATTATAATAATAATAGTCTCCTTTTTTGAATAAAAATGATCGACATAAATATGACTCTAAATTTAACAATTGTCAAAAATCACCACTACCAAATTTGTGATTCTAAATCTTGCCACATCCTAAATTATCTTGAAAAAGACCTTTAAAAGCTGTCTTCTGGGATGTCAAGTGATCTAATTAATTCAGTATGGTTTTAGTTTTCCCATTCCTATTTTCAATTTAAATTCTTTTTAATTTTAAAGACTTTCTCATCAAGAGGTAAAAAATAAAAAGTGAAAAACATTGATTCTTTTTCTGTAGCATCACAACGGAAAGTGTACCAAATTGTCCAAGAGGGCTTTATAAAATACAAATTTATTTAAGTGATTTTATTGGTGTTTGCATTTTTGAAATATGAGCTATAAGTAAAAATATCTGTCTCACCCATCATTCCTCAGAGTTATCAGTGTTAGCATTCTATATGGGAATGTCTAAGACTTTTGTATTAATACAACATACTTATGTATAAACTTTTTTTCCCCAAAATTAAGGTTTTTATTATCAATGCCATTTTCTTTCTTCTCAGGTAATCATATATTGTATAAATATTTTCACATCCATATAATTCTATTTTTTATTGTTATTAATATTTTGAATATTTTTACTTTGTATAACGTGAGTGACACTGATTTTTGTTCTATTAGTTTGGGGCAAAAGTAATCACAGTTCTGCCTTTATTTTCAATGGCAAAAACCACAATTATTTCTGAATCAACCTAATATATGCTGTTGAAAGAAACTGATGAGAAAATTTAGTGGATTTGGTGGACTGCTGGTTAGCATCAACTTGGATTTCATTTTAATGATATCCAGAGTCTGGATAGCAAAACGTCTTGTTTTCAGACTCGCATGCTCCAGTCAGATGTCCTATGTGAAATTTGAAAGGCATTTGGTCACAGTGTTTCTGGCTTTCATGTTGCAACTTCCAAATTATAAAAGCTTCTTACTCACACTTTTTTTTATTGTAGGAAAGTGGTAACCACACAGGATTTACAACATGTCTTATGCAAGTTCCCATTTAAGTTCTGCCACTTACTACTTCTGTGCCTTTGAACATACGAATTCACTTTTTGGTGTTTTATTACAGGGCAAGCTAATAATATCTTGCAGGAGTATTATAAATGTTATTGTAAAGTATTTTGCATAGTATCTAAAAAAAGTTCTTCTCAACTACTCTAAGACAATTGGGCAAATATGGAAATATGCAATCTGTGTTTCTGGTTTCAACTTTTTAACCTCAGACAACAGACAATTGGCTCAACTTTACTATGTAAGAATGTGCAATAGAATTTTTAGTTGAAGTCTATGTATTTTATATAAGAACATAAAGAATAGCTAATGGGTCTCCTTATTTTTTGCAGTCTTGTTTTCAGAAGACTTTCTCTAATCCCTGTAGTTGCAGAAAGCTTCAATACATTTCAGTATTTTTTTTGCTCTGAGGAAGATTATCTATTTTCTGTTCTTTGTCCCATGGGAAAGAATTAAAGGATGATAATTCTTTCTTCCAGGACCAAAAAAATTTCTCTTTCATGGAAGAAGTAGTGATACTGTACATGTCATAAACAGTTTTATGCTTCAGTAAATGTTTGATCAATGCTTCTTGGTAGTACTGATGATTATTAACTACACTTGCCACTTTTCAGGAGAATATCTTGTAGTTAAATATTTCTCAGCTCAAATGGTGCTCTTTCTTTTATATATAGTAATATTTTACTTTGCAGAGTCATTTTGGTTTTGCTTGCTTTTAGAAAACTGATGATAATGCTATTATTCATATAAATTTTCAAAATATTCTATAAGAGAAGATTTTTTTCTCAGTTACTTTTTATTTTTCATTAAGTTCCAGGATACATGTGCAGAATGTGCAGGTTTGTTACATAGGCATACGTGTGCCATGGTGGTTTGCTGCACCTATTGACCCATCCTCTAAGTTCTGTCCCCTCATTCCCCAGCCCCCAACAGACCCTGGTATGTGTTGTTCCCCTCCCTGTGTCTATGTGTTCTCATTGTTCAATTCCCACTTATGAGTGAGAACATGTAGTCTTTGGTTTTCTATTCCTGTGTTACTTTGCTGAGGATGATGGCTTCCAGCTTCATCTGTGTCCCTGCAAAGGACATGATTTCTTTCCTTTTTCTGGCTGCATAGTATTCCATGGTGTACATGTATCACATTTTCTTTATCCCATCTATCATTGATGGGCACTTGAGCTGGTTCCATGACTTTGCTGCTGTAAATAGTGCTGCAATAAACATATGTGTGCATGTGTTTTTGTAGTAGAACGATTTATATTCCTTTGGGATATACCCAGTAATGGCATTGCTGGGTCACACGGTATTTCTGTTTCTAGATCCTTGAGGAATTGCATACTGTCTTCTACAATGGTTGAACTAATTTACATTCCCACCAACAGTGTAAAAGTGTTTCTATTTCTCTACAGCCTAGCCAGCATCTGTTGTTTCTTGACTTTTTAATAACTGCCATTCTGACTGGAGTGAGATCATATCTCATTGTGGTTTTTATTTGCATGTGTCTAATTATCAGTGATGTATATGTATCACATTTTCTTCCTATGTTTGTTGGCCACATAAATGTGTTCTTCTGAGAAGTGTCTGTTCATCTCCTTTGCCTACTCTTTAATGGGGTTGTTTTTTTCTTATAAATTTCTTTAAGTTCCTTGTAAATTCTGGATATTAGACCTTTGTCAGATGGGTAGATTGCAAGAATTTTCTCCCATTCTGTAGGTTGCCTGTTCACTCTGATGATAGTTTCTTTTGCTATGTGAAACTTCTTTAGTTTAACTAGATCTCATTTGTCAATTTTGGCTTTTGTTGCCATTGCTTTGCTGTTTTTGTCATGAAGTCTTTGCCCATGCCTATGTCCTGAATGGTGTTGCCTATGTTTTCTTCTAAGGTTTTTACGGTTTTAGGTCTTATGTTTAAGTCTTTAATCCATCTTGAGTTAATTTTTGTATAAGGTGTAAGGAAGGGGTCCAGTTTCAGTTTTCTGCATATGTCTAGCCAGTTTTCCCAACATTTACTAAATGGGGAATGCTTTCCCCATTGCTTGTTTTTGTCAGGTTTGTCAAAGATCAGATGGTTGTAGATGTGTGGTGTTATTTCTGAGGTCTCTCTTCTGTTCCATTGGTCCATATGTCTGTTTTGTTATCAGTACCATGCTGTTTTGGTTACTGTAGCCTTGTAGTATAGTTTGAAGTCAGGTAGCGTGATGCCTCCGGCTTTGTTCCTTCTGCTTAGGATTATCTTGACTATATGGGTTCTTCTTTGATTCCATATGAAATGTAAAGTAGTTTTTTCTAATTCTGTGAAGAATGTCAATGATAGTTTGATGGGAATAGCATTGAATCTATAAATTACTTTGGGCAGTATGGCCATTTTCACAATATTGATTCTTCCTATCCATGAAGATGAAATATGTTTTCATTTGTTTGTGTCCTCTCTTATTTCCTTGAGCAGTGGTTTATAGTTTTCCTTGAAGAAGTCCTTCACATCCTCTGTAAGCTGTATTTTTAGGTATTTTATTCTCTTTGTAGCAATTGTAAATGGGAGTTCATTCATGATTTGACTCTCTGCTTGTCTGTTGTTGGTGTAAAGGAATGTTTGTGATTTTACACATTGATTTTGTAACCTGACTCTTTGCTGAAGTCACTTATTTGATTAAAGAGTTTTTGGGATGAGAGACTGGAGTTTTCCAAATATAAAATCATGTTGTTTTATATTTTACTTCCTCTTTTCCTATTTGAATACCTTTTCTTTCTTTCTCTTGCCTAATTGTCCTGGCCATAACTTCCAATAGTATGTTGAATAGAAATGGTGAGAGAGGGAGTCCTTCCCTGTACTAGTTTTCAAAGGGAAAGCTTCTAGCTTTTGCCCTTTCAATATGATATTGGCTGTGGGTTTGTCATAAATAGCTCTTATTATTTTGAAATATGTTCCATCAATACCTAGTTTATTGAGAGTTTTTAACAAGAAGGGATGTTGAATTTCATTGAAGGTCTTTTCTGCATCTATTGAGATAATCATGTTGTTTTTTGTCTTTGGTTCTGTTTATGTGATGGATTACATTTATTGATTTGCGTATGTTGAACCAGCCTTGCATCCCAGGGATGACGGCAACTTGCTTGTGGTGGATAAGTTGTCTGAAACGCTGCTGGATTCAGTTTGCCAGTATTTTATTGGGAATTTTCACATTGATGTTCATCAGCGATGTTGGCCTGAAGTTTTCTTTTTTTGTTATGTCTCTTCCCAGTTTTGGTATCAGGATGATGCTGGCTTCATAAAATGAGTAGGGAGGAGTCCTTCCTTTTCAATTGTTTGGAATAGTTTCAGAAGGAATGGTACCCGCTCCTCTTTGTACCTCTTGTAGAATTCGGCTGTGAATTTGTCTGATCCTGGGCTTTTTTTTTTGGTTGGTAAGCTATTAATTACTGCCTCAATTTCAGAACTTGTTATTGGTCTATTCAAGGACTTGACTTCTTCCTAATTTAGTCTTGAGAGGGTGTATACGTCCAGAAATTCATCCATTTCTTCTAGATTTTCTAGTTTATTTGCACAAAGACGTTTATAGTATGCTCTGATGGAAGTTTGTATTTCTGTGGGGTCAGTGGTGATATCCTCTTTATCATTTTTTATTGTGTCTATTTAATTCTTCTCTTTTCTTCTTCATTAGTCTAGTTAGCCATCTACCTATTTTATTTTTTCAAAAAATCAGCTCCTAGATTCATTGATTTTTTGGAGGATTTTTGTGTCTCTATCTCCTTCAGTTCTGCTGTGATCTTAGTTATTTATTGTCTTCTACTAGCTTTTGGATTAGTTTCCTCCTGCCTCTCTAGCTCTTTTAATTGTGATGTTAGGGTGTCAGTTTAAGATCTTTCTAACTTTCTGATGTGGGCATTTAGTGCTATAAATTTTCCTCTAAACACTGCTTTAGCCATGTCCCACAGATTCTGGTATGTTGTCTCTTTTTTCTCATTGGTTTCAAAGAACTTCTTGGTTTCTGCCTTAATTTCATTGTTTACCCAGGAGTCTTTTGGGAGCAGATTGTTCAATTTTCACTTAATTATGTGGTTTTGAGTGAGTTTCTTCATCTTGAGTTCTAATTTGATTGCACTGTTGTCTGAGAGACTGTTATTATTTCAGTTCTTTTGCATTTGCTGAGGAGTGTTTTACTTCCAAATATGTGTTCAATTTTAGAATAAGTGCCACGTGGCACTGAGAAGAATGTATATTTGTTGATTTGGGGTGGAGGGTTCTGTATATGTCTATTAGGTCTACTTGATCCACATCTGAGTTCAAGTCCTGAATATCCCTCTTAATTATCTGACTTGTTGTTCTGTCTAATATTGACAGTGGGGTGTTAAAGTCCCCCACAATTATTGTGTGGGACTGTAAGTCTATTTGTATGTCTAAAAGAACTTGTTTTATGAATCTGGGTAGTCCTGTATTGAGTGCATAAATATTTAGAATAGTTAGCTCTTTTTGTTCAATTGTTCCGTTTACCATTATGTAATGGCCTTCTTTGTCTTTCTTGATCTTTGTTGGTTTAAAGTCCATTTTGTCAGAGACTTGGATTGCAACTCCTGCTTTTATTTATTTATTTATTTATTTGCTTTCCATTTGCTTGGCAAATTTTCCTTCATTCGTTTATTTTGAGCCTATGTGTTCCTTTCCCCATGAGATGAGTCTCCTGAATACAGCACACCATATTGACTCTTTATCCAATTTGTCAGTGTGTGTCTTTTCATTAGGACATTTGCATTTACGTTTAAGTTTAGTATTCTCATGCTTGAATTTGATATGTCATCTTGATGCTATCTGGTTATTTTGCACAGTATTTGATGCAGTTTCTTCATAGTGTCATTGGTCTTTATATTTTGGTGTGTTTTTGCATTGGCTAGTACTGGCTTGAACTTCCCAGGTTCAAGTGATTCTCCTGCCTTAGCCTCCAGAGTAGCTGGGATTACAGGGACCCACCACCACGCCCAGCTAATTTTTTGTATTTTTAGTAGAGACAGGGTTTCACCGGGTTAGCCAGGATGGTCTCAATCTCCTGACCTCATGATCCGCCCACTCGGCCTCCCAAAGTGCTGGGATTACATGTGTGAGCCACCACAATGGCCAACTTTTTAGTTTTTGAACTTTGCTGCAATTGAGAGGCAGGGAGTTGGCCATCACAGAATGGGCAAAGTAGTTGAAAGAACACTTATGAGAAATTACGGAAGGAATTTAAGCTTTCAATATGGAACTGGTAAAATAATCTGTCTCTGTAGTTTCTTCAAAATATGAAAGTCTTTTGTCCTATGAACTGTGGTATTAGTTTGGTACTTTTAGGTTACAAGGATCAGAAACACATCCAAGTTAATATAGGTGATAGAGATTTATTAGTGAACACCAAGACAGTGCCGCAGCAGCCACATATATGCTGCACAATCTCACTTATATGTGAAATCTAAAACAATCAAACTGACAGAAAAAGAGATTAAAGAGTTCTTGGCAACAGAGCACCTTATAACTCACTGAGATGCATGGGAAGTTCTCAAGTTGTAGTCTGTTGATGTCCTTTCAAAAGTGGGCTCCCATTTATTTCTATTCCAATGATGACTCACTCATGGTCCATCTTATCTTTGTCTCTACCTGCCTCTAAATAAACTTGGCTCTTTTAATTTTTCTGCTGTGATGACTGCCACATCTGTATGTCCACAGTCTCTGCTTCTCCTGTCCTTAAACTGCTTTATTTCAAATTTCTTCATGAGTGAAGATCTACTTGAGTCGTAATTTAACGTGAAATGTTCTTACTGAGAAGAGTCTTTACACAAAACACCTTTTATATCAGGTCTATAAATGTATTTGGGTCATTGGAAGATTTGAGTTTAATGGGTTATGACCAGAACAACAGGGTGAGAGAATAGCATTTTAAGCAGAGGGAAATCATGTAACCTGTTTCCATAGAAGAGGATATTCCAAGATGGGCACTGAGCATCACAAGCCTTCCTCACCGTTCTAATCATAAAATATCTGCCATGAAGAGAGAGATCGTCATGGGTTGGACTCTCCTCCATGCCTGAGTGCAAGTCAAGGAAGAAAAAGACAACTTCTTTATTCAAATTACTCTCACTTTCCTGAGTATCTTAGAAAGAAATGCTCAGGTTTTCAATCTAAATTATTTACTCGACATTTTATGCTTCCCCACTGTCATTTATAAAGTGATAGACTGGCCTCAGGCGTTAATGAATAATTCATTTTTATAAATATATATTGCTAAACATAGTATCTGATAAATGCAAGAGTATATATGTAGCATATCTATGGGACAAAGCCTAATAACAAAATGAGTTTTCATAAACCTATCACCTCTATTTAAGAACTAAAGCAAAATCTAGCATGAATAATTCATCTTTAATCAAATCCCTGCTTAGTGGTAGTGCCAGTGATAGCCTTAGTATGACCTGTGCAGTAGACATAGGCCTCACATAAATATTTGTTGTGTTAATAGGGTGTGTGGTCATTTGATGAAGAGTCAAAACAATTTTATGTCACTTTCCCCCTTGGCTTCCTTTTATCTTAATTTACATTTATAATCTTATACACATTAAAATATAGTAACTTTTTAAATATTTGAAGTAGGGGTTTTATTTGGAGAAAGATCATCAGGAAAGAGGGTCATTAACTGCTTCATTCAGGGTTAGATGTCCATTTATTAGCTAATATTTAATTTCTATTCCTAGTAATTCATTAATTTGCCATCTCTGATTCAAACCTGGATTTGGAATTCTTCTGCTACTTAGAAATCCAGGTTGTTATATCTTGTAGGAGAATTGCTACTCTTACAACACAGAAACATGTAAAAAGACATCATCTGAAGCCTTTGAAGTTGGTAGAAAATATGTGGAAATTAAGAGACAATGTAGATGGAAGACTAAGAAAAATATCATTTTAAAGTTATGAAAGTAAAGATAATATTATAGTGGAATGTCAGAGAAAGTGTGAAATAATAACAAATCTCATCTTTAAGGAGGAAGAGCATTTGATAAAATTTAGCAACACTGAGCTGAAGTCTTCCCTACAGTACAAGCTATGTTTCACAAGTCAATCGAAAGTTTTTTGTATTTCCTTACTTCAAAGTTTCCTCACTTTTATTATTTATTTATTAATTAATTTATTATTATTATTATTTTTTTTTTTTTTTGAGACAGAGTCTTGCTCTGTCACCCAGGCTGGAGTTCAGTGGAGCAATCTCAGCTCACTGCAAGCTCCGCCTCCTGGGTTCACGCCATTCTCCTGCCTCAGCCTCCCGAGTAGCTGGGACTACAGGCGCCCGCCACCATGCCCGACTAATTTTTTGAATTTTTAGTAGAGGTGGGGTTTCACTGTGTTAGTCAGGATGGTCTCAATCTCCTAACCTTGTGATCCGCCCGCCTCGGCCTCCCAAAGTGCTGGGATTACAGGCGTGAGCCACCGCACCCGGCCTCCTCGCTTTTATAATGGACATAATAGTACCTAACATGAAGGCTCCCTTAAACATTGAGTGTAATACTCTGTGTAAATAGCTTAAGTGAATGATACACAGACCACACTGAATACATAGCAGTTATTACTATTGACATTCTGTGTGATCTTTGTAAAATTATTTATCATCTCTCAATTTGTTTTCTCTGAATATGCATAGATAATTTTTTGCATAATGGTATTAACATTTTCTTTTCAAACCAGCAAAGATGCTGTAAGAATTAATGCATTCATTTCTGGATAAAGAACCATTATTCTGAAACTTTTGGGATGAAAGAGGCTATCTATCAATCACAACTATATAATGTACTCCCATGTACTAACGGTATAGATAATTTGATTTAGATTGTGTAACACAATTAGTGTCCTCAAAGTATTTATTGACGATAATATTGTACAAAATTTAACCTGGATGATCATAACATACTGAAGCAAAATAAACCCTTCAGTTTTGATCATTGATATCTACTAATGTAACAAGCCACTCTGTGAAATCTATTAAGACTCCTCTCTGTTTGTGGTCAAGGTGATATTCACGCTAAGTTCTCAGTATGTTTCAGTGATTTTTATACACTAAAACTATTTTTTTCAGAGTAAATTTTTCTATGCATCCTTGGACTTCTGTCAGCTCCAATAAAAGAGGAAATTCAAGAATCCTTAAGCCCATATTCTAGAAAAACATTAAACTAGGAGAAGGGGGTATCAGGCAAAAATAATGTGTTGATGTTGCCAGATCTTTAGAATTTATCTACCCAAAGCGTATCTTCTGCAATTCCAAAAAAAAAAAAATAATTATTTATAGCTATGTGCCTTAAAACATGATGAAAATACTTTAAAATATAAAAAAAAGTTTTAAAAGAACACTTTCACATATAATTTATACATTGTATATATATTATTTATATATATATATACTATATCATTCATGCAGATAGCTGTGGATAGATTTTTCTTTTATTATATCAGAGATTCTCACCTATTTACAATACTGGTGGATAGAAACAGGTGGAGCTTCTCTGAAAATAGCAATGGTAAATAAAATTTCTTTTTGTAATGGATAGAAAAGAATAACTGTGGGGTCCATGAAGAGTTCTAGGAGAAAAAGTTAAACCACTTCTCTTTCTCACTTCCTTTCTATGGGCAGGTTTACATTGCTAATGTGGTTATCCACTGAGTCTATAGACACAAAAAATAGACACATTATCTTCTTTCCCAAAAGTAGCCCTATTAGAAATCAAATGAAACTGCATAATCTGCACAATTCCCTACATATTTATGAAAAACAACAATAATAAAGGAAATAAACAACAGTAACAATAATAAAGGCAATAACATAAAAAACCCCAAACCATTTCAGAGTGTAAGTCCTACCTATAATCAATCAGGAACATCACTTTTGTCTAGGAACAAGAACCTGTGGAGGAATAATTAATGACCTCCTGCTAGATTAAAACAAAACGAAACAAAATCTGCTGCCCTCCCATTCTCTACTAAGCCCTCTTTCTGCAAGGTGGAGTTAGGGCTGGAATGTTTCTAACACTGTCTACTGAATAACATTGTGACCCAAATTGAGGGCAGATATTTTAATCTACATCAGAAAGCATATTCTTTTTTTCTGCCATGGACCTTGCTTGTAGAACATAATCCAAGCTAATTACAACAAGAATGTGATGTAATTAGGAAATGCCTGAGATAGAGCAAATGTTACCATCCATGCAGTCTGTTTTTCAGATGAAGCTAAAGTTCAATGATAAACAACTAGAAAAGGTAAGACACAGGAACAGATAGCTTTCCTGCTCTATAGTTCTACATCACCTCTCTAGCCCACACACCTTAGATTTGCCCAAAGTGAAAAGTTATGGTTATCATAAAAATAAACGTGAGCATTATAACTTTGTTATTTTACTTATTTTTATGTGGATATAGGTTTTAAGACTTAGTGGTTTTAAAAGTAGCATTGTATCTCTATTTGTATGACTGTTGCCATTATGAATACATCCACTTACATCAAGACTTGTATTATTTAGATTTGGAACATTAAAGATTCCTTAGATCTTAAGCATAAATTATTTTCCTTGCAGAAGAATAAATCCACATTATTTCACTTGAAATTTTATTTTTCATTTTAGGGAAATTTTATTTTAACAGGTAGGGTTTATGTAACGTGTGTAATCACCCTGTAAAAGTTTTAGTTCTTATGTACATAATTCAGCGTTTCCACACTCAGACATAAATACTGGCCGAATATAAATTCAGGTGACATAATAAATTAATGTTTAAAACTGCTATGTTATTTTCAGATCAACTACAATTGAAGGCAAATTCTTTCCTCATATGTTAACCGCTTCATTTGAAAATAAAGATTGATTTGAGAATTTGACAAATTTGAATTTTCTAACTGCTTTATCTCTACAGTTATAAGGAATCATTGGATTTTTAATATCCTCCAATTCTATGTCTTCTTTGTTCTGATAGCAAATGACATCCAATTCAAAGCAATGTAGCTCTATAAGATAAAAACAAATGTGTTAAATCTGAGAAGCTGATATACAGAGTAAAAATTTTTAGTACATTTCTGCTACATACTCTTAAAGGAGGGGTTCAAAAGAAACTATCACATTTAGTTAAGTGAAGCATTCTTTAGATCGGAAACCCTGTTTACTCATTTAAAATAAGATAAGCACTATCATTCATTTCTTAATTGTCTAGTAAAATTATGTTCTCAAATGATAAGATATACACATCTCTTTTTAGAGGAAAACATGCTTTCTGATTTTTCCTGGGCACTCGATTTCTAAAATAATAGGACTACATATTAAACTTCAAAATTCCTATTTTATTAAGAAGATTTTGCTTTCAGTCTTTGCTTCTTTTTTACTTTGGTCACCAAAGACTTTGGATCCAGGAAGCATGTCCAAATACAGAGAAATGCACTGATTATCGTCAAGGATTTTACATTTTACACCAGTGAGGGCAGTTCCAAATTCCTTTGAGATAAATTAGAAATGTTTTTATTACAGGCTTCTGAAAAATATTTTTCATATTTTTACTTCAAATTGAAGATGTCATTATGCTTCTTAAAAACAGGTCCATAGAAACTGGTAGGCTTTTCGTGTTGCAAATTCATCTGTGACTCTGAGCTTAATATTAGTAAATTAGAATATAGGCAGGTAAGTAGAACAGACGTTACACAAATCAAAAGAATACGAAAATAAACTCAAAGTGTCTATAGAAGTAGTATATTCCAGGCACTTTCTAGAGAGCTCTAATTTTTTAAAAAGTGTACTGTATACTCAGTATGTGTCAGTCCCTAGGGTAAGTAGGGTGTATTTAAGTTTTCACTCTGTTTGAGATTATAGTTTGTTAAACAAGAAGACATACATAACAAGACAAAAAGAAAGATACCACTGTATGATTAAACAAAAAGTCATGAAAATGTTTCTATAAATAATGTCGCCATACAGCTGCTTTCCCTGGGAAAATCCTGGATTATGCCTTTTTGTCCTGACATAATTATTAATTGTATTATTTTTCACTGCCAAACTGCCCTGGTTTGGATGGTAAATGATATGGCTCAACTACTCTTGAAAGAAAAATAGTAATTGTCAAGATGAAGGGGAAAAAATGGGCATTCCAGGAAGATCTGCAATTTAAAGTCATACAAGGCATGAAAATGCATGGTGTCTTTGAGATATTCAACGTAACATGTTAAGCATAAATTGCAAGAAGGAGGCTAATGAGAAGAGAAAGTGGAGAGTCAGATCAGTTAGACTCTAAAGGCTGTCTTTGCCTGTAGGTAAAATATTTTATTTTACCTCAAAGCAAGTAGGAAGGGAAAGAAATATTCAAACAAGGTAACTGCATAATTGGGTAGATATTGTAGAAAGAGATATAAGCAAAAAATCAAGGCTGGAAATTAGATATTATGATCATTTTCAATAATTCAAGAAAGAAATTAGAACTTGAACTAAGGCAGTGGCATTTAAGATTGAGATAAACAGATGCATTCAAATGATATAAAAGAGGCTGAATTACAGGGTCAATACATTTCCTAAACTCCATATTTTAAAAAGGCATTATTATATTACAAAATTCTTCATTCTTTAATATAGCATAATTTTTAAAAAATTATATATTTGAGTGGGTCTTTTGTCAAATACAATGAAATCCTAATATCATACATCTGTAAAGTGGCCCTTTGTGCATGAAATAAGACTGAAATACTATTTTTATTCAAATAACATTTTTATTGTAATAAAATAAATATAAAATAAAATTTTAAATGTAATCATTCTTAAGTGTACAGTTTAGTGATATCAAGTATATTCATATTGTTTTTCTACCATCGAAATCATCCATCTTTAGAGGTCCTTTCATTGAAAAACTGAAACTCTCTACCCATTAAAGAATGACTACCCATACCCCTTTGCCCCAGACCCTGGCAACTACCATTCTACTTTCTCTATCTGTGAATTTGACTACTGTAGGCACCTCATATAAGTCATATAAATCATATAAGTCACATAAATCATGCAGTATTTGTCTTTTTGTGACTGGCTTAATTATTGTTAACCCTGCTCTCTTCTGCTTACTATTTGCAAGAAAAGTCTTTTTTCAATATTTCATTTTTAACATATTTGTGTCTCTAAATCTAAGTGAGTCACTTGTAGATAGTATATAGTTGGAGGAATTTTTTTTTGTATTTTTGTTTTTTGTTTTTTGAGACTGAGTCTCGCTCTGTTCCCCAGGCTGGAGTGCAGTGGCGCAATCTCGGCTCACTGCAAGCTCCGCCTCCCGGGTTCACGCCATTCTAGTTGGAGTATGTTTTTATACCCATTCTGCTTATCTCTGTCTTTTCATTTAGAGAGCTTAACAACTTTACATTTAAGTAATTACAAAGGAGAGGCTTGTTTTATTTTGTTATTTATGTTCCCTATGCGTTACATTAATTTTGTATCTCATTTCTGACGTTACTGTTTTCTTTTGTGTTTAGTCTATTTTTTTTGCAGTGAAAGCTTTTCATTCCCTCCTCATTACCTTTTGTTCATGACGTATATTCTATAACTAGATTCTTTGTGGTTACCATGGGGATTACATTTAACATCCTAATGTTAAAGCATTATAATTTGAGTTTCCACCAGTTTAACTTACAATAACATACAGAAACTCTTTTCCTAAACAGCTTCATCCTGACCCTTTTCATTTGTTGATGTCACAAAATTACATCTTTACATGTTTCCAAAAATATAAATATGTCTTATGTATTATTATTTTAAATTATATGGAAAACCAAATGTGGAGTTACAAAGTAAAGTTACAAGAATACTAACTTTTAAACTAACAATAGTTTTAAAAAATGTATTAGTCTCTTAAGTAATGTAGAATACAAAAAGTGAAATTACAAACCAATATTAAAATAATGCTAGCTTATATAATTACCCACGTATTTACCTTTACTGGAATGTTTACTTCTTTATACACCTTTGTAAGTTTTACTGTTTAGTCTCCTTTCATGTCAACTCACAGGATTTCGTATAGTACCTAGTAGGGCAGATCTAGTGGTAATAAGCTGCCTCAGTTTTTGCTTATCTGGGAATGTTTTAATGTCTCTCATTTTTGAAGGACAGTTATCCTGAATGTAGGATTCTTGGTTGAAAGTCTTTCATTTTTTTTTATAGTACTTTAAATATATTGGCTCACTGCTTTTTGCCCTCCAAAATTTCTGAGGAGAAATCTGCTGACATTCTCTGAGAATCCTTTTTTACATGCTACTTTACTTCTTTCCTTCAGCTTTCAAGTTTTACCCTTTGTCCTTGGCATTTTATAGTTTGATTATAATGTGTCAATATAGGTCTCTGAGTTTATCTGACTTGGAGTTAATGCAGCTTCTTGAATGTTTATATCCATGTCTTTCATCAAATTTGGCAAATTCTGGTCATTCTGTCTTTGAAAAATTTCTTTACCCCTTTGTCTCTCTCTTCTCCTTCTGGAACTTCAATATGTATTTTAGTCTTCTTGCTGGTAACTTACAAGTCCTTTGGGCTCTGTTCACTTTTCTTCGGTGCTTTTTCTTTCTGTTCCTCAAACTCAATAATTTCAATTTTCCTATCTTCGAGTTCACTCATTCTTTCTTCTTACTGCTAAAATCTAACTTTGAATCCCTCCAGCAACTTTTTCATTGCGGTAATTGTACTTCAAAGTTTCATAATTACTTTTATGTTTTATATCTCTTTATTGACATTTTAATTTTGTTCATACATTGTTTTCTTGACTTTCTCCACATCGTTCTTTAGTTCTTTGAACATATTTAAAACAATTGTTTTAATGTCTTTGACTAGCAAGTTTGCCAGCTGGTCCTTCTCAGGATGGTTTCTCTTGGATTACTTTTTTACCTTAAAATAGGCCATACTTTCCCATTTATTGGTACATTTTGTGATTTTTTTATTGATAAAAGCAGAACTTTTGAACCTAATAACTCAAATCATCAGATTCTGCTCCTACCCCAAGCTTTGTTGATTTTTGTGGGGTGTATTTTTTTTTTCTGCTGTAGGCTGTCTTTGTGCAAGAAATTAGTCAGATATATAAGCTTTAGATCTTTTGAGGGCCTTTTTAAGCCTGTGACTATCACTGGTTGTATATAATAACTTTCTAATTCCTCCATATATTTGGTTTTCTTTTGAATATTCTAGGGTTTTACTGTCTGATTCCTAAATGGGTAAAAAGAGAAAAATGAAGATGGGGAGAAAAAAGGCTCTGGCCCTTTAAATTTCCTGGACGTTGCTTCATCAAAGTGGGAGGGGCTTGCAACATTAGAGCAAGAGGTACAACAATTGCTGCTCACTTATGTATCTATGCCTCCAAGACCAAAAGAAGCAATCAACAATTAAAAAATAAATCCCCAATTTTTGGTGGACAGGATCTTTTTGTCCACTCTGGCTCTCACAAGCTCTGTTCAGCCTTTCCAGGAACATATACACAGTTGCCTGCCATGGATTCTAGGGGTTGGATAGCTGCTACACTGCTAGCAGCTGAAATAGGCTTACATTAACTGAAATTTACCTTGCAAATCTTCCCCTGGGAGTTGCAATCCTTGGAATAGACTCTGGAACTCCCAAATACTTACATCAGACTAATTTTGCCAATGCAATTGTTGTCTAGGTGGGTATACGTATCCAGGAATCCTTGCTGCTTTGCTTTCATCCTAGAATCCTCTAGAATATTTTTAATTCCTTCTATCCAACAATGTTCTATTCCTATGACATATTCCCAGAACTGCTTGTAAAGGTCAAAGGCAAAACTACAAAGAGTTCTAAATTTGAGATTGATGAAGACTTCCTGCCAGTACATATCAATGCCAATTGTTATGAAATCAAAAGTTCTATTTTGTAGTAATTTAGCAATAGTTTTTTTTCTTTTTTTGAGACAGAGTCTTGCTCTGTCACCCAGGCTGGAGTACAGTGGCCCAATCTCGGCTCACTGCAAGCCCCGCCTCCCAGGTTCACGCCATTCTCCTGCCTCAGCCTCCCTAGTAGCTGGGACTACAGGTGTGCACCACCACGCCCAGCTAATTTTTTGTATTTTTAGTACAGATGGGGTTTCACCGTGTTAGCCAGGATGGTCTCAATCTCCTGATCTTGTGATCCACCCACCTCGGCCTCCCAAAGTACTGGGATTATAGGTGTGAGCCACTGCACCTGGTCAGCAATAATTTTTACAAATGAAATTTAAAATAGTAATTTAGTTGTTATAATTTAAAACAGAGAAAATAATGTGCTCTGCCAACTTTGTTTTCCCATTAACATGAACTGGAAACAGTCATTTGGAAGTGATTGTTTACATGAGACAAGGGAAATGAAGAATTTATGAGTATGAAATGTCTTCTCTGAGATGACTGACTGTTTTTTATAGAGGGTAGAACAGTAAAAAATTTTTGTGAGAAAAATATGAGTGGAGATTCTCTACATTGGGTATGAGTTGGCGGTTACGTGATATCCAAGTGAAGAAGTCCAAAGAAAGTTAGATTTATGGATTTTGACTTAGAAATGGCTAGACTTGGTTTAGGAATTTGAAGATCATTTTACCATAAGTAGAAGAGAAAAATACAGAGTGAATAAGAATCCTTAAGCGGATTGAGAAGAGTGCTAAATATATATATATATATCAGGGAAAATGGAGGGAAAAAAGGAAATTTGAGCATTAAACTTAAAAAATGCAGAGCTGTTGACTGCTCAGAGAATCAGGAGGGAAACATGAATGTCTGGAAATTAAAGAAAGAAAACAATCCAATAGTGGAGCAGTGAGTAAGTCTGTATGCCGCGTGTGTGAGTTTATTGTGGACGCTGAACAAATTACTACAGATTGATAGTTTAAAACAAAACAAATGTATTTTCTCAGAATTCTAAAGGCCAAAAGTTCAAAATCAGTAACTTGGGCTGAAATCAAGGCAGGATTTCACTCCTTCTAAAGGCTCTAGAGACAATCCATCCCCTGCTTCCTGCACCTGGTGGCTGCTGGCATTCTTTGGCTTGTGCCCACTTGACTCCAATCTTCAAGGTCAGCAACTTTAACTCTCTGTCTCTGCTCTGTCTTTATATCACCTCCTCCTCTGTGTGTATCAAATTTCTCTCTGTCTCTTTCTTATAAGGATACTTGTGATTGCATTTAGGACCCACTCAGATAATCAAAAATAGCCTCCTCATCTCACCTTTACTTTATCACATCTGAAAAGAACCTTTTACTCAATAAGGTGATATCTACAGATTCCGGGAATTTAATCCTGGATATCTTTTCAGGCCATTTTTAAGCCTGCCACATCCCATGTAACTTTGGTAGGATGAAACTTATTAGCAATCATTGGATTTAGCAGATAAAGGGATTTTAGTGACTATAGTAACGGAAAGTTTAAAGTTATAGGTGGAAAGCAATACGCAAAAACAAACAAAATTGTTGTTTGTTGTCCAGGAATTGCAGTTCTAACTTGGTATGAGAGAAAAGAGTCTTAAAATTCATTTCTGGAGAACCGGCACCTGTGGATAATGGATTATTGGGATGGAAATTATAATAGAGGTGAAGACCATTTTAAAAGATCTTTTAGTAAATTCACTCCTATGGTAAATTACATTTTTAAAACACTTCTATGGTTACAAATGAAAACCACAACCCATATAAAATAAATATTTATCTTAATACATTGCATAGGCAATATATCTTATAAACACCATCCAGGTTAAGATACAAAGTTAATCACATCCCTGAACCAAATCCCATCATTGCCATAAATTTAACCCCATAGATTTGAAAACATTTAAAATTTTGCTGATATATGCTCATGGTATCATTCAACATGGTCTTTTGCCTTCTGTATTTCCTGCAAATAAAATAGGCAACCAGCTCCAGAAGCTCAGTTTAACTCAGGTTAAATCAAGGCATGAGATAGTGGTATACAGTGTCTGATGCTCCCTTTCTCTTGTAAATTCTTCATGTCTTTTTGTAAATGTCATTATTTAGATGTAATTGACAAGAAGTAAACTTCACATATTTGAAGTGTATCATTTGATAAGTTTTGACATAATGCATACACCCATGAAACCATCAATATCTTCAAGATAATATATCAATTCCCAAACTTTCTGTGTAATTTTTTTAACCCCCTCCTGCTTGATTCTACCTGCCATATCCAGGTAACAAAATGACAGATCAGTTTGCATTTTCTAGAATTTTACATACATGAAATCATATAGTATGATTTTGATACTGTCAATATCCTTCTTTCAAATAGCATGATAATTATGATATTCTTTTAGGTTATTGCATGCATTGATAGTTTATTCTTTTATATTACTGAGTTAAACTCCACTTATACCACAGTTGCTTGGTCTATTAATGTATTTTGAACATTTTCTTGATTTCTAGTTTTTGGCTAGTAGTATAAAGGTACTCTAAATATTTATTTTGAAAATATCGAATGGATAGATTCAGTCATTTTCCTTGAGTAAAGCATCTAGAAGAAGAATAGTTGTGTCACATACTAAGCATAAATTTAATGTTTTACAAAGCTGCCAGGCTATTTTCCCAAGCAAGTGCAGTGTTTTATTTTCCCACCAGCAGTTTTCAAGAGTCACTACATGTTCTCAACACTTGTTATTATGAAGGCTTTTGAATTTTAAGCATTCTGATAGGTATGTAGTAGTATCTCATTGTGGTGTCAAATTGCAATTTGCATCAACCTGCATAATTTCTAATGTTCGCTATCTTTTCATGTGCTTTATTGTAATCCATATATCTTTGGAGAGATGTTTGTTTAATTCTTTTGCCTATTTAAAAAATTTTATTATTTTTGTGATGACTACAGTAGTCCCCATTATGCATTGAGTATATGTTTCAAGACCCTTGGTAGATGCCTGAAACCACAGATAATACCAAATCTGATTGCCGTCAGTTGGAACACATTCTGTTAATGTCTTTCATCTGGAGATTTAGTGTCCTTCCCATCTTAACTAAGCACTTATCATGCACTGTGGCTATAACTTTTGCAGTTTGAGATTCAACAGCAAATCAGCACAAATTTCTTTTTCCTTAATCACAATTTCATAGATAAGAAGATTCTTACTATAGATCTTAGTACCCTCAGCGTAAGATATTTTTTTCTTGTTGAGTGAGAAACTTTCACCTTTTCCCTAAAGAAAGCACTTTAAAGCTTCCCTCTTTGGCATATGTGAATTGCCAGCATCACCAGTCTTGTGCTTTGGGGCCATTATTAAGTAAAATAGGGATTGCTTGAACACAAGCACTGAGATTCTGTGATAGTTGATAGCTACTAGGTAACTAAAGGGTGGGCAGCATAACACCTCATAAATATGCTGAATGAAGGGGTGATTTACATCCCAGCCAGGACAGAGTGGAATGGCACAAGATTTCATCATGCTACTCAGAACAGCACACAATTTAAAACTTACAGTTTGCTTATTTCAGGAATTTTTATTTGATATTTTCAGATTTTGCTTGACCATGTGAGTAACTGAAACCCTGGAAAGCCATACTGCAAGCAAAGGGGAATTATTGTAATTTTACATGTCAACCTGAATAGGCTAACATATCCTCAGATAGCTGTGTCTATGAGGGTATTTCTAGAAGAGATTCACTTTAGAATAGGACATCCATCTTCTACCCTTAGACATTAGTTTTTTAATTCTCAGCCCTTTGGTCTAGGACTAGAAATCAAAGAATTACACAATTGGCCTCACTTTTTCCTATGCTCCAACACCCTATTCTCAGGCCTTCAGACTTTGAAGCTGGAACTATACCACCAGCTTTTCTGGCCCTATCACTTATAGGGAGCAGATCATGAGGTTTCTCTGGCTCCATAAATGTGGGAGACAATCTGTTATAATACATCTCTTCCTGTACTATCTAAATGTAACCCATGTAAATCACTACATTTAATTAAAAGAGAAAAATAATAATATTTACAGAAAAATTATTCAAATACCTTCATAACAGCAAATTCTAGACAATCTTATAAATCAAAAAGTAAATAAATATGAGTAACCAATTTTTTGTACAAAAATAAAATGTTTATGTTATTGAGAAAGACATTTAAGGCCATGTTAACCAATATTCAAACTGCAAACACCATAAAGTTAGGACTTTATACGTTAGCTATGAAGGAATTTAAATATGTTAAATGATAAGCATGGACTGGGAAATGTTTGAAACTGAAAAAAATAAACCTAATATCCAGGCCCAATTTTTAAATTACTGAAAATAAATAAGAAAAAGAGAAACGGCCTAAGAACATTATGCAAATAGTACAAGACATTTCACTGGAGAGAAAAATAAAATAGCCAATAAACATAAAAATGTTTATCCTAGGTAGTAGCTAAAAAATGCAAATTAAAATGAGAATAATTTTCAGCTATCTAGAGAGAAAGAGATCATGTAAAATATAAAAAAATCATTGGAGTATGAGAAGATACGTGGCATATAAAAGACCTTCTTAATAAAAACTATAAATTGACATTTTTTAAAAGACAACTCAATAGCAAAAATGAGCTAAAATTATCCAAATGGTCAATAAACATGTGAAAGTTTATCACTGATCATGAAAAAACAAATTAAAATTATTAGATATCATTATATATCCAGAATAATGTGTCAGATAAAAAAGAGAAAATACCAAATACTGGCAGCCTTGTAAAGAAATTATTTGGATGTTAAATTTGTAAAACTACTTTGGAAAAGTGTTTATAATATTTACTACAACTAAATATATCTAATGACACAGTAACTGTACTCACAGGTATATTTTCAACAGAAATGTGTACATATATTCACCAAAAATAAAAAAGAATAATCGTTGCATAACTACTCCTAACAGCCTCAAACTGGAAACTATTCAAACACCCACCAACAAAGAACAGGTAAACATACTGTGTTATAATCACACAATATGGAAACTATTAAACACCAATGAACATATAATAGGTAAACATATTGTGAGATAGTCACACAACAGAATGCTATATATAGCTATGAGAATGAACTAACTACTTCACAGAACAGTGTGGATTATTTCAAACATACAAGGTTGAACCAAATAAGCAAAATGGAGGAGTTTATATTCCACAATTCTGTTTATGTAAAGTACAAAAAATAGACTATACTAACTTACACCTTTAGGAATTTGGATAGTAGTTAGTTACCCTTACTGGGAGTGGTTAAAGAACTGGGAGCATGAAAGGGTTTTCTGAGGTGCTGGTCATGTTCCCTTTCTTGATCTGGTTACTGGGTATACAGACATGTTCTGTGTGAGAAAATTTATGGAACATTTTCGCTTGGAGAGAATTTAAAACAACCAACAGTTTTTTAAAGAGCTCCTCCAGATTGGTAACTAATTGATAATCATTCCCTTTTTAAAATTTATATTTCATTAAAGTACACACATTTTTAAAAAGAATAATGTTATTGAATCGCCCAAGATGTGAAGATATAGGTATTCAGACACGATGCTGGTAGAAGCATTAAAGAGCAATGCTATATCAAAAGTTCATTTGGCAGCCCCATAAACCTAAAAATATATACATGCTGCAACACATTAGTTCTACTCCATCATCCAGAGTAACTTGCAACTATGTAGGTGGGCTACATAAGAATATCCATCAAAAAATTATTTAAATTTTGTTAAAACCCTTTATATCTACTAATAGATCTTGATGAAATTAAATATGCTATATCCATTCTGTACTTGAAGTATACTTTTAGCAATCCTAATAACTAATTAGAAATATGGACATGGATAATTCTCTGTAATATGGTGATAGGAAAAATACAGATAATTATCTATAAAACATATTAAAATACTTGTTAACATTATACATGCAATAATAATTTTATCACATATTGAAATATAATATCAACATATAAAACATTATAACTTTGTATTTAATCATATATAATTAATTTCTAGAAGAAAATACTCAATTTTAATTTAAAAATTAAAGCAGACCAATACTCTGCAGGCAACTGTATGGGAAACATACATGCATACATATACACATAGATATATAAATATATATATAAATGATTATTAACATTATAAGGATTATACACACATATTATAAATATTCACTTTTTAAAAGAAACCCAAATGTTATGTCAATGCCTATTTATCAAAACTTGATTCTTAAATCCTAGATTATAGAAAATTAAACCATAATGTAAGATTTTTGAGAAAGATGCATGATATATTTTCCATTTCATACTGTGAGCGAACTAACATATACTTTCTGTTTTTACAGAAATAATAAGGTAAAACTTGTTCAAAGTAATTTGTCAAAAACTTCTGAGTAAACACAATTATTTAAAAAGTTGTAAAGTATAAATACCAAATATTTAGGGAAATAAAAAGGTAAGCAGTCAGCACAAAAAATAAAAAGAAATTGTAATAAGCAAAAAAAAAAAAGAAATCCAAATATAAAATGTGATGCGATCCCCTATAATTGGAAATAAACTAAAATCACTTCCAAATAACAACACTTTTAAGTTTGGGCTAAAAGTTGATGTCCAATCCTTTGATATTCATAAAAATAATATTTAAATCATAGTGATGTATGAAGTTTAATAACAAAAAATTAAAGTTAGACCAACAGATACACCTAATAGTATTTATTACATTAATCATTTCATATAAATATAATGCATATATTTTTATTATTTATATTTACATACATACAAGAAATTACAAGTGACAAATTAATATATCATTATAAAAGTTAATTCAAAAAGGCTTATTTTCATTAATAACATATGCAAATTTTAAGAAGGAAAACAAAGTACCTTTTAATTTAAGAAATGCCTTATGTAATTGTCAGGTCAATATACACACATAAGTTACGAATTACCAATGAACTAGTAAGATAGGAAACACATGTATGAAAATCTATGGTATATTTTCAAGCTGTATTTAACAGTATATACATAAAGTTAAATTATGCATTGTCTTTTGAATGAGAAAAAAAGCAATGGATTTAATTTCAGAAATAAGTGTGCAAAATAAAGCCTAAAGAAGGATAATAATAAAGACATATATCAATATTAATGAACTAGAAATGAGAAAAATATGCTAGACAATATCCTAAAGGTAGTTTGAAGTCAGGTAGCGTGATGCCTCCAACTTTGTTCTTTTTGCTTAGGATTATCTTGGCTATATGAGCTATTTTTTGGTTATGTATGAAATTTAAAGTAGTTTTTTGTAATTCTGTGAAGAAAGTCAATGGTAGCTTGATGGGGATAGCATTAAATCTATTAATTACTTTGGGCAGTATGGCCATTTTCACAACACTGATTCTTCCTATCCATGAGCATGGAATATTTTTCTATTTGTTTGCGTCCTCTCTTATTTCCTTCAGCAGTGATTTGTAGTTCTCCTTGAAGAGGTCCTTCGCATCCCTGTGAAGGACCCTGTGAAGTTGTATTTGTAGGTATTTTATTCTTTTTATAGCAATTGTGAATGAGAGATCACTCATGATTTGGCTCTTTGTCTATTATTGGTGTATAGG
Organism: Homo sapiens; assembly: GCF_000001405.40. Taxonomy (NCBI): domain Eukaryota; kingdom Metazoa; phylum Chordata; class Mammalia; order Primates; family Hominidae; genus Homo; species Homo sapiens. The sequence goes on along the minus strand of NC_000002.12, from coordinate 51,895,649 downwards.
AATGCTTGTGGTTTTTGCACATTGACTTTGTATCCTAAGACTTTGCTGAAGGTGCTTATCAGCATAAGGAGATTTTGGGCTGAGACAACGGGATTTTCTAAATATACAATCATGTCATCTGCAGAGACAATTTGACTTCCTCTCTTCTTATTTGAATACCTTTATTTATTTCTCTTGCCTGATTGCCCTGGCCAGAACTTCCAATACTGTGTTGAATAGGAGTGGTGAGAGAGGGCATCCTTGTCTTGTGTCGCTTTTCAAAGGGAATGCTTCCAGCTTTTGCCCATTCAGTATGATATTGGCTGTGGGTTTGTCATAAATAGCTCTTATTATTTTGAGATACGTTCCATCAATAAGTAGTTTATTGAGAGTTTTTAGCATGAAGAGGTGTTGAATTTTATCAAAGGCCTTTTCTGCATCTATTGAGATAATCATGTGGTTTTTGTCATGGGTTCTGTTTATGTGATGGATTGTGTTTATTGATTTGCATATGTTGAATCCAGCCTTGCATCCCAGGGATGAAGCCAACTTGATTGTGGTAGATGAGCTTTTTGATGTGCTGCTGGAACCAGTTTGCCAGTATTTTATTGAGGATTCTTGCATCGATGTTCATCAGGGATACCGGCCTGAAATTTTCTTTTTTTGTTGTGTCTCTGCCAGGTTATGGCATCAGGATGCGGCTAGCCTCATAAAATGAGTTAGAGAGGAGTCCCTCTTTTTCTATTGTTTGGAATAGTTTCAGAAAGAATGGTACCACCTCCTCGTTGTACCTCTGGTAGAATTTGACTGTGAATCCGTCTAGTCCTGAGCTTTTATTGGTTGGTAGGCTATTAATTGCTGCCTCAATTTCAGAACTTGTTATTTGCTGATTCAGGGATTCAACTTCTTCCTGGTTTAGTCTTGGGAGGATGTATGTGTCCAGGAATTTGTCCATTTCTTCTAGATTTTCTAGTTTATTTGCACAGAGGTGTTTATAGTATTCTCTAATGGTACTTTTTATTTCTATGGGATCAGTAGTGATCTCCTCTTTATCATTTTTTATTGTGTCTATTTAATTCCTCTCTCTTTTTTTCTTTATTAGTCTGGCTAGTGGTCTGTTTTGTTAATCTTTTAAAAAACCAGCTCCTGGATTCACTGATTTTTTTGAAGGGTTTTTCGTGTCTTTATCTCCTTCAGTTCTGCTCTGATCTTAGTTTTTTCCTATCTTCTGCTAGCTTTGAATTTGCTATTGTGTCTCTAGTTCTTTTAATTGTGATGTTAGGGTATTGATTTTAGATCTTTCTCACTTTCCTCTGTAGGCATTTAGTGCTATAAATTTCCCTCTAAACACTGATTTAGCTGTGTCCCAGAGATTCTGGTACGTTGCGTCTTTGTTCTCATTGGTTTCAAATAACTTATTTACTTCTACCTTAATTTTGTTATTTACCCAGTACTCATTCAGGAGCAAGTTGTTCAGTTTCCAGGTAGTTGTGCGGTTTTGAGTGAATTTCTTAATCCTGAGTTCTAATTTGATTGCAGTGTGGTCTGAGAGACTGTTTGTTATTATTTCCATTCTTTTGCATTTGCTGAGGAATGTTTTACTTCCAATTATGTGGACAATTTTAGAATAAATGTGACGTGGTGCTGAGAAGAATGTATATTCTGTTGATTTGGGGTGGAGAGTTCTGTAGATGTCTATTAGGTCTGCTTGGTCCAGAGCTGAGTTCAAGTCCTGAATATCCTTGTTAATTTTCTGTACATTGATCTGTCTAGTATTGACAGTGGTGTGTTAATGTTTCCTACTATTATTGTGTGGGAGTTTCAGTCTCTTTGTAGGTCTCTAAGAACTTCCTTTATGAATCTGGGTGCTCCTGTATTGGGTGCACATATATTTAGGATAGTTAGGTCCTATTGTTGCATTGATCCCTTTACCATCATGTGATGCCCTTTTTTGTCTTTTTTGATCTTTCTTTTAGTTTAAAGTCTGTTTTATCAGAGACTAGAATTGTAACCCCTGCTATTCTTTGCTTTCCATTTGCTTGGTAAATATTCCTCCATCCCTTTATTTCGAGCCGATGTGTGTCTTTGCACATGAGATGGGTCTCCTTAATACAGCACACTGATTGGTCTTGACTCTTTATCCAGTTTGCCAGTCTGTGTCTTTTAATTGGGGCATTTAGCCCATTTACATTTAAGGTTAGTATAATTATGTGTGAATTTGACCCTGTCATTATGTTGCTAGCTGGTTATTTTGCCCATTAGTTGTTGCAGTTTTTTTATGGTGTCGATGGACTTTACAATTTGGCATGATTTTGCAGTGACTGGTACCAGTTTTTCCTTTCCATATTTAGTGCTTCCTTCGGGAGCTCTCGTAAGGCAGACCTGGTAGCAACAACATCTCTCAGGATTTTCTTGTTTGTAAAGGATTTTATTTCTCCTTTGCTTGTAAAGCTTAGTTGGCTGGATATGGAATTCTGGGTCGAAAATTCTTTTGTTTTAGAATGTTAAATATTGACCCCCACTCTCTTCTAGTTTATAGGGTTTCTGCAGAGAGATCCTCTGTTGGTATGATGGGCTTCCCTTTGTGGGTAACCTGACCTTTCTCTCTGGCTGCCCTTAACATTTTTTCTCTTCATTTCAACCTTGGTGAATCTGATGATTATGTGTCTTGGGATTGCCCTTCTCGAGGAGTATCTCTGTGGTGTTCTCTGTATTTCCTGAATTTGAATGTTGGCCTGTCTTGCTAGGTTGGGTAAGTTCTCCTGGATAATATCCTGAAGAATGTTTTCCAACTTGGTTCCATTCTTCCTGTCACTTTCAGGTCCACCAATCAAACATAGGTTTCGTTTTTCACATAGTCCCATATTTCTTGGAGGCTTTGTTCATTCCGTTTTCATTCTTTTTTCTCTAATCTTGTCTTCATGCTTTATTTCATTAAGTTGCTCTTCAATCTCTGATATCTTTTCTTCTAATTGATTGATTCAGCTATTGATACTTGTGTATGCTTCATGTAGTTCTTGTGCTGTGCTTTTCAGCTCCATTGGGTCATTTATGTTCTTCTCTTAACTGGTTATTCTAGTTAGCAATTTGTCTAGCCTTTTTTCAAGGTTCTTAGCTTCCTTGCATTGGATTCTAACATGCTCCTTTAGCTCAGAGGAGTTTGTTATTACCCACCCCCTCCTGAACCCTACTTCTGTCAATTCGTCAAACTCATTCTCTGTCCAGTTCTGTTCCCTTGCTGGTGAGGAGTTGTGATCTTTTGAAGAGGCATTCTGGTTTGTGGAATTTTCAGCCTTTTTATGCTGGTTTTTCCTCATCTTCGTGTATTTATCTACTTTTGGTCTCTGATGTTGGTGACCTTTGGATGGGCTTTTTGTATGGGTGTCGTTTTTGTTGATGTTGATGCTATTCCTTTCTGTTTGCTAGTTTTCCTTCTAACTGTCAGGCCCCTCTGCTCCAGGTATGCTGGAGTTTGCTGGAGGTCCACTCCAGACCCTGTTTGCCACGGTATCACCAGTGGAGGCTGCAGAACAGCAAAGATTGCTGCCTGTTTCTTCCTCAGGAAGCTTCGTCCCAGAGGGGCACCCGCTGGATGCCAGCCAGAGCCCTCCTGTATGAGGTGTCTGTTGACTCCTGCTGGGAGGTGTCTCCCAGTCATGAGGCACGGGGGTCAGGGACCCACTTAAGGAGGCAGTCTGTCCCTTAGCAGAGCTCGAGCATTGTGCTGGGAGATCCACTGCTCTCTTCAGAGCTGGCAGGCAGGAATCTCTAAGTCTGCTGAAGCTGAGCCCACAGCCACACCTTCCCAGATGTGCTCTATCCCAGGGAGATGGGAGTTGGTTGGCAAGATGGCTGAATAAGAACAGCTTTGGTCTGCAGCTCCCAGTAGATCAATGGAGAAGGCAAGTGATTTCTGCATTTCCAACTGAGGTACCCAGCTCATCTCGGCGGAACTGGTTATACAGTGGATGCAGCCCATGGAGGGTGAGCCAAAGCAGGGAGGGGTGTTGCCTAATCCGGGAAGTGCAACGGGTCAGGGAACTCCCTCCCCTAGCCAAAGGAAGTCGTGAGGGACTGTACCGTGAGGAATGGTGCATTCTGGCCCAGATACTATGCTTTTTCCATGGTCTTCACAACCCATAGACCAGGAGATTCCCTCCAGTGCCTGTACCACCAGGGCCCTGGGTTTTAAGCACAAAACTGGGTGGCCATTTGGGCTAGCTGCAGGAATTTTTTTCATACTCAGTGGTGCCTGGGACACCAGCAAGACAGTACCGTTCACTCCCCTGGAAAGGGGGCTGAAGCCAGGGAGCCAAGTGGTCTACCTCAGTGGATCCTAACCCCATGGATCCCAGCAAACTAAGATCCACTGGCATGAAATTCTCGCTGCCAGCACAGCAGTCTGAAGTCAACCTGGGGCACTCGGGCTTGGTGAGGGGAGGGGCATCCACCATTACTGAGGCTTGAGTAGGCATTTTTTCCCTCACACTGTAAACAAAGCCGCTGGGAATTTCGAACTGGGCAGAGCTCACCACAGCTCGGCAAAGCTGCTGTAGCCAGACTGCATTTCTAGGTTCCTCCTCTCTGTACAGCGCATCTTTGAAAGAAGGCAGCAGCCCCATTCAGGAGCTTATAGGCAGCTCTTTTTAAAATAATATTAAATATACACACAAATTTGTGAAGTTTAATCAAAACAAGAAGAGATAAATTAACAAGAACAAGACAAATACAGTTAAATTATAATTGGATACTGTACAATTCTGCTTATTTAGAAAAACTCTATAAAATATTTACCTTATTAAAAAACATAAAGAATCAATATTAACTTGAGAACATCCAATACAACAGAATTTGTCAATTTCCAAATAAGAGATTAATAAAATATTATAATGATATTTCCCAAATTGAATATGAGTGCAGATGTTTTTAATCAGTGAATTATCTAAATTGAGAAACATTTTTAAATATTAAAAGAAAGGAAAAATATTCTATGCATACTGCACAACTGTCATATATCTAATGTAGACCAGGATTGCAAACTCACAACCAGTCTTATTTCTGTATATAGGGGCAAAACTACCTAATGAAATGCCACCAATTTGAAATTTATAGAAGAGTTGCAACATAGTATGCCATAAGTAAGTAAGTTTACCTCAGGAATACAGGGATATTAAATATATATAATATATGAAAATGCTAAATGCTGATAAAGGTCTTTAATAAAGCCCAATGCTTTACTGATAATGCTTTAGCAATCTAAGAATAGTTACATCTTTTTTGTACTAAAAATTCTCTGTCTTTAAGAAATGGATGACAGTATCCTAATAAAGAGACTTTCCTCAGGATAGGGATAGATTTTTTTCTTAGGAAATATCTACACATTACTGATTATAATTTCAAATTCTTAGCCTTGAAATTCACAGAAGGGCGACACTAAAATACCCACACAAAAAAATACTCTTTTAAGTTCACTCTTTCTCTGACCACTTCCTCTTTTATTGTTTCTCTTTTCTTCTATGGAAAAAATAGTAACTTAAAATAATTTTCAGGCAATGTGGTCCAGCCCCTGTTCTCATTGATCACACATGTAAGAATGAGCCAGTTAACACACAATCTTTATCCCAATTATAAGGACACTGATGGTGCAATCATTTATAAGTAGTGGTGGGGTAAATGGCATTTAAAAATCATTAGATAGTCTTTTTTCTCTAGAGTGCCTTTTTCAAGGCCAACAGAAGATCAAATATATCATCAGAACATTGAAATGAAAGCTTTTGTGTTTGGTTTATTGTCTGATAGTACAACTCTAAATATGAAGGGCAAAATCAAGGTGCGAATTGTAGAACAAATTTATTTGAAGTGTCCTGTAACATTTTTACCACTAACAGAATACTTTTTTTTTTTTTTTAAGACTTTTTGGGTCATGTGGCAGTATTCTGTGGTGGTAACCAAGAGAGTTATTCCTTATTCTCCTTCCAACTCTGCTGGTGTATTTCAAATGCAAAACGAAAAAAAAAAAAAAAAAAGATAAGGGGTTGGTTAACTTTGTCAAGCAAATTTGAGAAACTCATGATTAACCGGAATTAAACAAGGGCTTTATGCAGGAATTATTAAAATATTTAATGTCCTTCATTAAAGTGCACATGCATAATATAAAATGCTGCATTTTCTGACTATGCCTTAGAAATATCTTTTTCAATGCATATAACTTGAATAAGTGTTTTACACAATGCCTTTTGGAAAATACCTGTTTGAACTAGTTCACACATCCAGAGAGACTAAGTTTTATGTATTTTGAAAACTACTACAATTTTTTAAAAAAATTTAATTGATAAGTAATAATTGTACATATGGTGTACAAAGTGATGTTTTGACACGTATACGTTTTGTAATTAACAAATCAGAGTAATTGTTATATTTGCACCTCATTTATCATTTATTTGTGGTGAAAACATTCACAATCTTCTCATCTAGCTATTTTAAAATATACAATACATTATTATTAACTATAATCCCTCTACTGTGCAATAGAACAGCAGAACTTTATCCTCCTAAATAACTATAACTTTGTACCCTGTGACCAATGTCTTCTGATTCTACATCTACCCCTTTCTCTTCCTCCATGCTCCAGCCTCTGGAAACCACCATTCTATGCTCTATTTCTCTAAGTTCAAGTTTTTAAATTTAACATATGAGTGAGATCATATGGTTTTTGTCTTTCCGTGCCTGTCTTGTTTCACTTAACATAATGTCCTCTAGGTTCATCCATGTTGTCTCAAATGGCAGAATTTCTTGTTTTGTTTTGTTTTGTTCTTACAGCTTAATAGTATACAATGGAATGCTTGCCTTCTTGGGTCAAACTGGATCAGCCCCTCTGAATCTCTAGAATCAACAGAGGTGGCAGTCTCTCTGACTGGGCAGGTCACTGCCGTGGGCTCTGAGGCTGGGCAGGGAGACTAGCAGTCTAGGAGCTCAAGCTAGATTTTACTTCCCATAATGCTTCTGAAGTCAACCAGCTCAGCTTTGTGGTACCGTATGAGCTTGTTTGATACCTCTGATTGATCACAGGAACACAGAGGTTCAACCAGAATGCATGCATTATTCACTTTCTTTGTTTCTACCTAACCGCCCCCAACCCCCCACCCTGGGGGAGGGGAAGGGGGACAGGGGAAGTGGGTGGAGGGTCAAGTTGTGCTATTTCCCTTAGTACTCCCTGTGAGGTGAGACTGGATTGGGCTTCTTGGGAAGTGTTTCAGAATGCTAGGGAAGCTGGATGACTACTTCTGGTTGTCTTTTCTCCCTGCAAGCCCAGGAAAATACTGTCTAGTGTGGCATTGTGCTGACTTGCAGTAAAGGTAGAGGATGGTGAGCAGAGTGAGACCATTCTACCTATTCTTCTAATTTGGATTTTATTCAGTTCTGTGTACCACGTGGGTATCTCATACTTGACATCACTGTAGCATCATGACTTTATAACATTCTGTGTGATACAAAATGAATGATTGTGTTCTCTTAAAACATGGATTAAATCTTAGCCCCAATGTGATGATATTAAGAAGTGGGACCTTAAGGAAGTGATTAGGTCATGAAGGTGAGACATTAAGAATGAAATTAGTGCCCTTATAAAAGAGGTTCCAGCATACTCCTTTGCCTTTGCACCCTGTGAAGTTGCAATAAGAAGATAGCTATATAACCAGGAACTAGAAAACCAGCCCCAACCGGACACCAAATATGCCTGAGCCATGATATTGTATTTTTCAGCCTCTAGAGGTGTGAAATATATATTTGTTTTATTTATAACCCACCTGGTCTATGGTATTCTGTTACAGCACTCCAAAGGGATTAAGACACTGATATGGTTTGGCTATGTCCCCACCCAAATCTCATCTTAAATTCTAGTTCCCATAATCCTCACATGTCATGGGAGGGACCTGGTGTGAGGTAATTAAATCATGGGGGAGGTTACTCTTATGCAGTTTTTGTGATAGTGAGTGACTTTCACGAGTTCTGATGGTTTTATAAGGGGCTCTTACCCCTTTGACTCAGCACTTGTCCTTGCTGTCGCCATGTGAAGAAGTACATGTTTGCGTCCCCCTCCTCCATTATTATAAGTTTCCTGAGACCTCCCCAGCCATGCTAAACTGTGAGTCAATTAAGCCTCTTTCCTTTATAAATTACCCAGTCTTGAGTATGTCTTTATTAGCAGTGTGAGAACAGACTAATATAGACACTGTGTAAATTACTGAAACTTAACAGGTACATAAAAAGAAAGATAAGAAAAAAATTAATATAATTTTTCTCATACTTAATTTTTACATTTTATTATTCATTTAAAATTATACATTTAAAAGTATACATTTAAAACATTATACACTTAAAATTCCTAATGTTTCTCCCCCCTTTATTCCTCCTTCTATCGCTTTCTTCCTTCCTACCTTCCTTGCTACCTTCCTTCCTGTATAAATCTCCTTTCCTTATTTTAGCATATTTAGGCAGGAACAGAATGACAGGAGTTTGCATGTTGTCTGTTGTCTCACAGGAAATAGGCAGTGCTCCCTCATGAACCCTCAGCTTATCAGCTCTGGAAAAGTGATTACAAAATTGGGTTTGGACTTATTCGTGATTTAACTTGAAAATTGCCTTTTTGCCTCCCTGGGATTCCAGCTAAGGCTATTAGAAATGGAGTTGGACAATTCCCTCTTGCTATTCTCCTTAAGTTCTGACATTTCATTATATGCATCTTTAATTTTTTTAAACAAAAGAAATTGAGAAAATATTAGTGAAATATTTGAGATCTTTTTTCTTTTATGTTCATTGTTCACATTCTTAAGAGAATCATTTCAGAGATTTTTAATGGATGTATTTGGAAACCAGACATCAATGGGGATACAAATATACTTGGGATTATAAAAGCAGGACTACATAGGCCTTATAATAGCACAACAAAGAATACAGCCATTGCTATATAAGAAGTATAAAGAGATATGAAAACAGTACAAAATTTTAATTAAAACTTGGGCTTCAAGCTGAAAGTAGTATGTGAATTAGGCTTTGAAGCTGATTGAGTCAATGTAAATAACTGGAGAGCTGGGCATACAAGAAATTCTATGCACGGGAAAAGAGAAACAGTAAAAACAGGGACAGCAAGAAAACAAGGACGGAAAAAATTCTGTGAGCAGAGAAACAGTGGCATGAAGAACAGAATGTGAGGTTAGAGTTATGGGAGTTTGAATCTGGCTGTGACACTCCTTGGCTCTGTGACAAAGTTCCTGTACTGTGAATATAACAATGGTAACTAAATTACAAGAATGTTATGAAGATTATATGAGATAATGGATTTAAAAGTGCTTAGCATAGTTCCTGGTGCATAGGAAGCACTTGTGGGAATGAAGTTGTTATTCTTGCTGCAATTAAGAAAACAAAGAAAACTCTATGTACCTGAGCCGAAGTTCTAGGGAAACTGATGATGTGTTTAGAAACCTACAATGGAGCCAATTGTGGAGGCCTTGAATATTTTATGTTATTGGCATGATATTGAGCATAGCAATGTCATGGTCAGGACCATATAGGTATTTAAAAGTTAATCATTGGGAATATCTAGCACGTTTAAGAATGGGAAAACTATCAATAACCAAAATCAGATGGGAAGTCTCTAAAATGCCTGGAACATGTGGGAAAGAAATAGAACAAAGAGAAAAGTCAGTAAGTATGAGCCAGGTAGGTAGTTTTGTGGTTAGAAAAAAGTCTTAGTATGTAGAACGATGGGGATAATAACATTTTCCTTTACCATTTAATTAAAAATATTTCTTGAGACTTGCTGTGTTCTAAGTCTTATCCCAGGTTGCTAGTGATATGCAAAAAGACCAAATCTTCATTCACTTTACATTCAGTTAAGGGATGGCATACCTTCGACACACCGTTGATACATACAAAATAATTTCAGATGTAGTAAGTATAATGAAGATTTACACAGCAACATTTTAGAGAAATAAATAGTGGTGAAGATATTTTAAAAGACAGGCTCCTTTGGATAGCCTGGACAGATAAAAAGATGTACATCTTATATTATGCTTGTATTTGAAGACAAGTTCCGTGAAGGTAAAGATTTAAGCATTTTTCCCTTCAGTTTTACTAGTTTTATAAGCTTTTCAAGTCCCCTACTGAAAGCCATGACACATGTCTTCAGAAGTTAGCAATTAGGGCACTGGGTACTGAAAAGAGAAGCTACTGCATCTTCTGCAACCAGCTAAGGTATTGTTTAACTTTCCCCAAATAAGTTTCTGGACCAAATATAAAAAATTTATTGTTTGATTGCACTTAAATTTCCAAGGATATGCAATCGAAGACATGCTATTTTCTCCATTGATGTTCTTGATACTGTTTTCAAAGACATTCACTGAAGATGTAAATGTGAAAGAATACAGGACTTACATAAACTACATACATTTTATCAAACTTATTTTGGGAGAAGCCTATTTCATGCTTATAATTATTCAACACTTGCAAATCAATCCTTTCTGCCTCCTTTCCTTCCTTCCTTCTCTCTCTCTCCTCTTTCCTACTTCCTCCCGGTCTGCCCTTTACTGGCTTAGTTGGTTTATTTATTTACTTATCTGTTTTTAAATAATGAGTTACAGATATCCAAGAAACCTAGCATTTTGGGTAAAATGTTTGTTTTTAATTTTAATTTATGCATATTGTATATTGATTCATAAATTATAAATTAATCTTGAAGAGAAAATTGATATATATTTTATCACTGTAAAATATACATATAAATTATTAATTTGTTATTGTGAAATGCCAGTCCACCTGAGAAAAATTATTTTAAAAAATTTTGAGACTACTTTTTTATTTAGGGATATTTTAAAAAAATAAATAAGATTGATGGGCCGCTAGTTAGACTAATAAAGAAAAAAAACAGAGAGGTCCAAATAAACACAATCAGAAATAATGAAGGTGACATTACCACTGACCCTACAGAAATATTTTTTAAAAACCCTCATAAACTTTGAAATTATGAACATCTCTACTCACAAAAACTAGAAAACCTACAAGTAATGGATAAATACCTGGAAACAAACAATCTCCCAAGACTGAACCAGGAAGAAATTGAAACCCTCAGTGGACCAATAGTGAGTTCTGAAATTAAATCAGTAATAAAAGGCTTCCCACCAGAAAAAGCCCAGTATAAAATAGATTCACAGCTGAATTCTACCAGTTATACAGAGAAGATACACTGGTAATATTCCCAGTGAAACTATTTCAAACAAACTGAGGAGGAGAACCTCCTCTCTAACTCACACTGTGAGGCCGTCATCATTTTGATACCAAAACCTGACAGAGACACAAGAAAAAGAAAACTTCAGGCTAATATTCTTGATGAACATAGATGCAAAAATCATTAACAAAATACTAACCATCCAAATCCAGTAGCACATCAAAAAGCTAATTCACCAAAATCAAGTAGGCTTTATCCCTTGGCTGCAAGGTTGGTTCAATATATGCAATTTAATAAATGTGTCTCATCACATAAACAACACTAAAACCAAAATCACATGATCACCTCAAAAGATGCAGAAACAGCTTTTGATAACATTCAACATTTCTTCATGTCAAAAACACTAACAACCTAAGCACTGGAGATACATACCTCAAAATAATAAGAGCCATCTATGACAAATCCACAGCCAACATCATACTGAATGGGCAAAAGCTGGAAGTATTCCCTTTGAGAACCAGAACAAGACAAGGATGCCCACTCTCACCACTGCTATTACACATAGTACTGAAAGCCCTAGCCAGAGCAATCAGGCAAGAGAAAGAAATAAAGGCATCTAAATAAGGAGAGAGGAACTCAAACTATCTCTGTTTTCAGGTGATATAATTCAATACCTACAAAACCCCATTGTCTGTGACCAGAAGCTCCTAGATCTAATTAACAACTTCAGCAAAGTTGCAGGATACAAAATCAATGCACAAAAACCAGTATTTCTATACAGCAATATTGTCCAAGCTGAGTGCTGTATCAAGTCATACAAAATAGTCATACCAAAAAAAAAAATACCTTGAAGTACAACTAACCAAGAAGGTGAAAAATCTGTACAATGAAAATTACAAAACACTGCTGAAGGAAATCAGAGATGACACAAACAAGTAGAAACTCAATCTGTGCTCATGGATATGAAGAATCAATATTGTTAAAATGGCCACAGTGCCAAAAGCAATTTACAGATTCAATGCTGTTCCTATCAAAATACCAATGAAATTTGTCACAGAATTAGCTAACACTCTTCTAAAACTTATATGGAACAAAAAAACAGCTGGAATGGCCAAATCAATCCTAAACAAAAACAACAAAGTTGGAAGCATGATATTACCTGACTTCAAACTATAGTATAAGGCTACAATAACCAAAACAGCATGCCACTGGTACAAAAAGACACATATCAAAGGAACATCATACAGAGCCCAGAAATAAAGCTGCACAGGTACAACCATATAACCTTCAAAAAAGTCAACATAAACAAGCAATGGGGAAAGGACTCCCTATTCAATATATGGTGCTGAGATTATTGGCTAACTGTATGCAAAACATTGAAATTGGATCTCTTCCTTACACCATATACAAAAATCAACTCAAGATGGAATAGTGACTTAAATGTGAAAACTAAAACTGTAGAAACACTTGAAATCAACCTAGGAAATACCAGTCTGGGCATAGGTTTCAGCCAAGGTTTCATGAAAAAGATGACAAAAGCAATTGCAACAAAAACAAAAATTCACAAATGGGACCTAATTAAACTAGACAGCTTCTGCACAGAAAATGATATTATCAATAGAGTAAATAGCAAGCCCACAGAAGGGGAGAAAATATTTGCAAAATATACATCTGACAAAAGTCTAACATCTAGAATCTATAAGAAACTTAAGGCTGGGCACAGTGGCTCAAGCCTGTAATCCCTTTGGGAGGCCAAGGCGGGCAGATCACGAAGTCAGGAGTTTGAGGCCAGCCTGGCCAACATGGTGAAACCCTGTTTCTACTAAAAATACAAAAATTAGCCGAGCATGGTGGTGCGTGCCTGTAATCCCAGCCACTGGGGAGGTTGAGGCAGGAGAATGGCTTAAACCCAGGAGGTGGAGGTTGAAGTGAGCCGAGATCATGCTACTGCACTCCAGCCTGGGTGACAGAGCAAGACTGTGTCACAAAAACAAAAACAAAAACAAAAAAACTTAAATACTGCAACAAGCTAAAAACAAACGAACAAAAATCCTCATTATAAAGTGGGCAAAGGAAATGAACGGATACTTTTCAAAAGAAGATATACACATGGCCAAGAAGCACATGAAGAAAGCTCAATATCACTGATAATTAGATAAATGCAAATCAAAACCACAATGGGATACTGTCTCACACTAGTCAGAATAGCTATTATTAAAAAGTCAAAAAATAACAGATGCCAGTGAGATTGTAGAGGAGTACTTAACACTGCTGGTGGGAATTTAAACTAGCGTAGTCACTGTGGAAAGCAGTTTAGCAATTTCTCAAATAACTTAGAATTACCATTCAGCACAGTAATCCCATTGTTGGGTATATATCCAAAGGAATATAAGTTGTTCTACCATAAAGACATATGCATGCATATGTTCATTGCAGCACTATTCACAATAGAAAAGACATGGAGTCAACCTAAATGCCCATCAATGATAGACTGGATAAATAAAAATTCCATAAACACCATGGAATACTCTACAGCCATAAAAAAAAAGAGATGATGTTCTTTTCAGCACCATGGATGGAGCTGACGGCCATTTTTCTGAGTGAACACAGGAAAAGAAAACCAAATACTGTACTTCTCCCTTGTAAGTGGGAGCTAAACATCGAACACACATGAACTCAGTGGAGGGAACAGCAGACAACGAGGCCTACTGGAGAGTGGAGGGTGGGAGGAGTATGCAGATCAAAAACCTACCTATTGAGTACTGTGCTTATTACCTGGGTGACAAAATAATGTGTACATCAAACCCACATGACACACATTGTATCTATATAACAAATCTACACATGTACCACTGAAACTAAAAGTTAAAAAAAAAACAGCTTTTTTTCATTGTTTTTCTACATTGTGTTTCTTTAATTTTTAATTTTTGTGGGCACATAGAAGGTTTATATATTTATGGGGTACATTAGAGATTTTGAAACAAGCACAGAATTCACCATAATCACATCATGGAAAATGGAGTGTTTATACCCCCACAGGCATTTATCCTTTGTGTTACAAACAACCCATTCATAGTCTTTTAGTTATTTTTAAATGTACAATTAAGTTATTATTGAATATAGTGACGGTATTGTGCTATCAAAAACTAGGTCTTAATCATTCTTAATAACTATTTTTTGTACCCATTAACCATCCTAACTGCCCCCCACACATACCCACCATCCTTCCCAGCCCCTGGTAACCATCTAGAAGAATGTCTATTTTGTATTTTATGTCTCACAAATAAGTGAGAACATGTGACGTTTGTCTGCCTGGTTTATTTCACTTGACACAACGACCTTCAGTTCCATCCATGTTGTTGTAAATGACAGAATCTCATTCTTCTTATGGCTCCATAGTACTCCATTGTGCATAACTACCACATTTTCTTTATCTGTTCATCTCTTGATGGACCTTTAAGTTGCTTCCACATCTTGACTGTTGTGAACAATGCTGCAATCAACATGAGAGTGCAGATCTCTGCAATATACTGATTCCCTTTCACCCAGCAGTGAAATTATTGGATCATATGCTAGGTCTATTTTTAATTATTTGAGGAACCTTCAAACTGTTTTCCACGGTGGTTGTACTAATTTACATTCACACCAACAGTGTATGAGGGTACTTTTTTGTCAATATCCTCTCCAGCATTTATTATTTATTGCCTGTCTCTTGAGTAAAGCCATTTTAACTAGATTGAGATGATATCTCTCATTGTAGTTTTGATTTGCGTTTCTCTAATGATCAGTAATACTGAGCACTTTTTATTTGACTGTTTGTCATTCATATGTCTTCTTTTGAGAAATATATATTCAAATTTTTTGCCCATTTTAAAATCAGATAATTAGATTTTTTTTCCTATCAAGTTCTTTGAGCCCCTTATATATTCTGGTTCTTAATCCCTTGTCAGATGGGTAGTTTGAAAATATTTTCTCCCATTCTGTTAATTGTGTCATCACTCTGTTGATTATCACCTATGCTGTGTAGAAGGTTTTTAACTTGATGTGATTCCATGAGTCCATGTTTGCTTTGGTTGCCTGTGCTTGTGGGGTATTGCTCAAGAAGTCTTTGCACAGACCAAAGTCCCAAAGAGTTTCCCCAATGTATTCTTGTAGTAGTTTCATAGTTTGTGAGAATTTAGATTTAAGTCGTTAATCCATTTAGATTTAGTTTTTGTATATGGCAAGAGATAGGGTCTAGTTTTCTTCTGCTGTATATTAATCTCCAGTTTTCTCAGTACTGTTTATTGAAGAGACTATCTCTTTACCAGTGGATGTCATTGGCATCTTTGTAAAAAATGAGTTCACTGTTAAGTGTGTTGATTTGTTTCTGGATTCTCTATTCTGTTCCATTGGTCTGTATGTCTGTTTTCTATGACAGTAGCATGCTGTTCTGCTTACTATATGTCTGTAGTATAATTTGAAGTCAACTTATGTGATTCCACCAGTTTTGTTCTTTTTGCTTAGGATAGCTTTGGCTATTCTGGTTTTTTTATGGTTTCATATAAATTTTAGGATTTTTTTTTCTCTGAAGAATGTCATTGTTACTCTGATAAGTTTTTCAATAAAGCTGTAGATTGTTTTGGGCAGTTTGAGCATTTTAACAATATTGATTCTTCCAATTCATGAACCGGGAATTGCTTTTCATTTTTTGGTGTCCTCAATTTCTTTCATCAGTGTTATATAGTTTTCATTGTAGAGATTGTTCATATTGGTTAATTTCTAGATATTTAAATTTATTTGTAGTTATTGTAAATGAGATCATTTTCTTATTTTTTCAGATTGTTTGTTGTTGCCATTCAGAAATGCTGCTGGTTTTTGTATGTTTATTTTGTGTTGTGCAACTTTACTGAATTTGTTTATAAGTTTTAATAAGCTTGTTTTTGTGTGTGTCTGTGTGGAGTCTTTAGGTGTTTTCAAATATAAGATCATATAATCTGCAAAAAAAGACTAATATGTCTTTTTCCTTTCCAATTTGGATGCCCTTTATTTCCTCCTCTTGTCTGATTGCTCTAGCAAGGGCTTCTAGTACTGTCATATAACAGTGGTGAAAGTGGGCTTCTTTGTGATGTTCTACATGTTAGAGAAATGGTTTTCAAGTTTTCCCCACTGAATATGATTTTAACTGTGTGTCAGTCATATACAGCTTTTAAGACCTGTTTTTTGACGTAACATATGGTCTATTTTTGAGAATAATCCATGTGCTGTGGAGAAGAATATATATTCTGCAGCTATAGATTAAAATGTTCCATAAATATCTATTAGGTATATTTGTTGTATAGAATAGATTAAGTCTGATGTTTCTTAGTTGATATTCTGTCTAGATAATCTGTTCAATAATGAAAGTGGGCTGTTGAAGACTCCATCTATTACTGTATTGGAGTCTATCTCCCTCTTTGGTTATAATAATACTTGCTTTATATATCTGGGTGATCCAGTGTCAGGTGCATACATATTTATAACTGTTATGTCCTTTTGCTTAATTGAAGCTGTTATTATTATATAAATGATATAATGTCCCTTGTTGCAGTTTTTGTCTTGAAGTCTATTTTGTCTGATATAAACATAGCTACTCCTGCTTTTTTCTGTTTCCATTGTCATGTAATATATTTTTCCATCTCTTTATTTGTGTATATTTATAGATGGATTATTTCTCGTAGGCAGCTGATCATTGCATCTTTTTTGTTTCATCCATTTAGCGACTCTTGTGTTTTTATTTGAGAGTTTAGTCCATTTACATTTAATGTTATTATTGATAAGTAGGGAGCTACTCCTGTCATTTTGTTACTGGGTTTCTGGTTGTTTTGTGGTCTTCACTTTTTTCTTTCATTCCTTCCTGTCTTCCTTTTAGTGAAGGTGATTTTCTGTGGTGGCAAAATTTAATTATTTGCTTTTTATTTTTTATTTATCCATTATGTTTTTCAATTTGAGGTAGGCATGAGAATTGCAAATATAATCTTACAACCCATTATTTGAAATTGATGACAACACTGATTGAATAAGCAAAGAAACAAACACAAAGAAGACTAATAAAAACTCTGCACTTTATCTTCATACCTCTGCTTTTTAATATTTTACATTTCTCTTTGTGTCTTATTGTAATGTCTATGTCTTGAAAAGTGGCTGTAGACTTTTTTTAGTTAGTTCACCATTTATTCCTTCCACTTAAGAAAAGAGGAGTTTACACACTGTAATTACAGTGTTATAATATTCTGTATTTTTCCGTGTGCTTACTATTACCTGTGAGTTTTGTAACTTCAAATGATATCTTCTTGCTCGCTAAAATTCTTTTCTTTCAGATGAAATAACTGCCTTAGCATTCCTTGTAGGACAGACGTAGTGTCTACAAAATCCTCAGCTTCTGTTTGTCTGGGAAGGTATTTATTTCTCTTTCATCCTTCACAGATATTTTCACCTTATATATTATTCTAGGGTAAAGGACTTTTTCTTTCAGCACTTTAAATATGTCATGCCACTCTCATCTGGCCTTTAAGGTTTCCACTGAAAAGTTTGCTGCCAGATGTATTGGAGCTTCACTGTATGTTACTTGTTTATTTTCTCTTGCTGCTTTTAGGACTCTTTTTAAATCCTTGACCTTGGGGAATTTGATTATTAAATGCCTTGACGTAGTTTTTTTTTGGGAGTTAAATCTGGTGTTCTATAACCTTCTTGTACTTGAATGCTGATATTTTTCTCTAGGTTTGAAAGTTCTGACTGAGCGCAGTGGCTCACACCTGTAATCCCAGTACTTTGGGAGGCCAAGGTGGGTGGATCGCTTGAGGCTAGGAGTTCAGGACCAGCCTGGCCAACATGGTGAAATCCGGTCTCTATTAAAAAATAAAAATTAGCTGGGTGAGATGGCACATGCCTGTAGTCTTAGCTACTCTGGAGGCTGAGGCACAAGAGTTGCTTGAAACCGGGACATGGAAGTGGCAGTGAGCCAAGATTGCTCCATTGCACTCCAGCCTGGGCAAGGCAACCCAGTGAGGCTCTGTCTAAAAAAAACCAAAAAACAAACAAACAAACAAATAAACAAAAAAAGCGAGGCTCTGTCTTAAGAAAAAAAAAGCTCTCTGTTATTATCCCTTTGAATAAACTTTCCCTACATCTTTCTCTACTTCCTCTTTAAGGCCAATAACTCTTAGCGTTTGCCCCTTTGAGACTATTTCCTAGATCTAGTAGGCATATATCAATGTTATTCTTTCATTCTTTAGTCTTCTCTGTGTATTTTTAAACAGCCTGTCTTCTAGCTCACTAGTTCTTTCTTCTGCTTGTGCAATCCTACTATTAAGAGACTCTGATGTATTCTTCAACATATCAGTTACATTTTTCAACTCTAGCATTTCTGCTTGATTCTTTTTAATTATCTCAATCTCTTTGTTAAATTTACATGATAGAATTCTGAATTCCTTCTCTGTGTTATCTTGAATTTCTTTGAGTTTCCTCAAAACTGCTATTTTGAATTATGTGTCTGAAAGATCACCTATCTCTGTTTTTCCAAGCTTGGTCTCTGATACTTTATCTAGCTTCATTGCTGAGGATATGTTTTCCTGGATAATCTTGATGCTTGTAGATGTTTGTCAGTGTCTGGGCAGTGAATTGTTATTTATTCTATTCTTTACAGTCTGGGCTTGTTTGTGTCTTTCCTTCTTGAGAAGACCTTCCAGATACTTGAAGGGGCTTGGACCCCAGCCTAATAACACTGATTTATGCAGACTTATAGAGGTTCTACCTTGGTAGCCTTGGATAAGATCCAGAAGTATGCTCTGGATTACCAAGCAGAGATTCTTGTTCTTTTCCCTTGCTTTCTCCAAACACACACAGTCTTTCTTTCTGTGTTAAGCTGCCCAGAACTGGAGGTATGGTGATGTAAGCACCCCTGGGACTGCTCTGGGTCAGCACAGCACTGGATCTCACTCAAGGCCCTCTCCAACCACTACCTGGTTACCATCTAGACTCACTCAAGGTCCTAGGGCTCTATGATCAGCAGGTAGTGAAGCCAGCCAGGTTTCTTTCCTTTCCTTCAGGGTGTTTAGTTCCCTCAGGCCCTGGGCGGGTTCAGAGATGCTGTCTGGTAACCAGGGATTGGAATAAACAATCTTAGGATTTTACCTAATATTCCATTCTACTGTGGCTAAGTTGGCACTCAAAACACAATACAAAGTCCTTCACATTCTTCCTTCCCCTTTCCATAGGCAGAGGAGCCTCTTTCTGTGGCCAGCACAATCACTGGCCCACCAGGGATTCTGCCAGGCCACCACTGATGTTCACTTAGGACCCAACGGCTCTTTAGTCAGCTTGTGGTGAATGCTGCCAGGTCTAGGGTTCACCCTTCAGGGTAGTGGTCTCCCCTTTGAACCAGGGCAAGTTTAGAAATGCTGTCTAAGAACATAGGGCTGGGCTTGGGGATACCTGGGGCCTGCTTGATGCTCTACTGTACTGTGGTCAAGCTGATACCTGAGGTGTAAGACAAAGTCCCCTTTAATTTTCCCTCTGCTTTTCTCCAACAGAAGGGGTCTTTCACCATAGCCACCACAGCTGGAAATGTGCTGGGTCATATCTGAAGTCAGCACATCTCAGAACCCAAAGCCAACACTTGGTATCACTGCTGGTAATTCAGGACTCTTTAGTCATCAGGCGATGAGTCCTGCCAGAACTGGGTCCTTCCCTTAAGGCAGCGAGTTCCCTTTTGGCCCACATTTTATGTACCCAGACATGTCATCCAGAAGCTAGGTATTAAAATGGGGGGCCTAGTGACTCTGCCTGGTGCCTTATCCTACTGTGGCTGAGCTGGTATCCAAGATACAAGAAAAAAGTTCTCTTTACTCTTCACTCTCCTTCTTGTAAGCAGAAAGAAGGCAAAATGGCAAAACATTTGCTGCTGTGAGCTTCACTGCCTAAGGTTAGAGGAGGGGTGGCGCAAGCCTTCCACCAGCCACCCAAGCTGTTGTCTCACTAGGTCACACGCCATTCTAGTTCACCAGGTCTGAGTACAGCCCAGCACTAGGAGTTTTCTAGGAGTTGCAGTCTTTGTGGCCTAGGCTGCCTTTCAAGTTTATGTAGGATCACAGAGCACTTTGGCCCATGGTAGCAAGACTTGCCAAGAAACTCGAGCTCTGACTGCTGGGATGGGTGATTGATTCCCCTCTGGCCAGGTCTGGCCCAAATGCTCCTTCTGGGTGTGGGTGCTTGACTTTGCTTTCCACTGTGACAGGGCACTATTGAGTTCAATGTAAAGTCCCCCAGCCACTGTGTCCTCTCTCTCACAAAAGAATAGATTCTTTCTCAATGCCGCACAGCTGCTGCCAGGGGACAGGGAAGGGGTGGCTTCGGCTGTACAAGATTGTCTCTCCAACTGTCTTCTATGCCATTTTCAGAGATATCAAATGAAAATCAGGTACTATAATTGTCACCTGATTTTTGGTTCTTGTGATGGTGCTTTTCTATGTGCAGATAGTTGTTAAAATGTTGTGTTTCTGCTGGGAAGATCAATGGTGTAGGCTTCTGTTGCACCATCTTGCTCTATCCACAATACTGTTTATCCATTTTCCATTTTACTTAACTCTCCTCTAATCCCTATTATTCCCTTATTTCTGCTAATGTTCAGTTTAGTTTGCTCATCTCATTCCTGTTCCTCAAAGTACAATATTATAGATCTGAGATGTTTCCTTTTTAATATAACTGTTTACAGCTACCATTTTCTCCCGAGCACTGCTTTCACTGTATTCCGTAAGATTTGGTATGCTATGTTTTAATTTTTATTTGTCTTTATGTATTTTCTAATTTTCTTTGATTTCTTCTTCAACCCATTAGCTGTTTAAGAGAGTGTTAATTTCTACATATTTGTAAATGTTTCACTTTTATTTCTGTTATTTATTTCTAGCTTTATCCTATTGTTATTACAGAAGATACCTGGTATGATTTTAATCTCTTTAAATTGAGTGAGAATTCTCTGTGGCCTAACGTATCATCTATTCTGGAGAATGTTTCAGATCCACTTGACAAGAAAGTGTATTCTGCTGTTGTTGGGGGGAGTATTCCATATATGTCCTCTAGATCTACTTTGTAGTGTTGGTAAAGTCCTTTGTTTCCTTATTGCTCTTTTTTCTAGATATTTTATTAATTATTGGCCCATAGAAGGATTGTTAGTTATTGGAAGTGGTATACTGAGATCTCCAAATATAATTATAGACCTGCCTATTCAATTTCTCCCTATAATGCTGGCTTTTTTGTGTTATATATTCTGGGGTTCTGTTGTTTGGTGTACATAGCTTTCTAATTTCTCCTGTACACATTGGGCTTTGGAATGCCCTAATTTCTCAAAGAATCTTCCCAGCTTTTCCTCCAATGCCTTCTTTTTTTTTAATCTATTGTATTTCTCAACCGTAATCTTCTGTCTCAGTCATTTTCAGGTTATTTCACCTTGCAGCATTTTCTACCTATGCACACCACTTTTCTGGCCTGAGTTCTGATATAAGCGAAACAAAGGTGAGCACTTGCATCAATGCTTTAGGTGGCTTCAGACATGTTAGAACAGACAAGAACAAATAAGATCTGCTCTTCTTGGTCCAGAAGCTGGAACCAGAATTCCACACTGGAAAGGCTATCACTGCTTCCAGATTGCTGACATTCTAGGGAAACAGTGAGGCAAGGGAATGTTTATATATGGGAAAGCTTTCCTACTGTTTTCAAGTTGGCATTTTCTTTATTAAAACAGGCAAGGTTGTTGTAAACCTTTGAATATTTTCCAAAGTTCTGACAATGTTGATACTGACATTTCTGCCTTGGTGTGTGTGTGTCTGTGTGTGTGTGTGTGTGTGTGTGTGTGTGTGTATGTATTTCATATATATTTTTCTATAAGGGCACAAGAGCTTGGAGCCACCTACTTTGCCATTTTGCTGATGTCATTTCTCTGGAATCTACGCTCTAGCTAGGTCTGTAGTAGTTACTGCTGCCCACTAAAATTTGAACAATATTCTTCTACCTCTTTTCTGTATTCTAAGACCTTAAGCACTCACTTTTAATTCTCCCATCATAAAGAAATGTCTGAATATAGTTGTAGCATTCATTTGAAGCAACTGGAAATGATTAAAAGAACCCTAGTCTTAATTTTGGAAGATTAACTTTCTAATTGATTCTTTCTCATTCACTGGATATGTGTCTCTGGGCAAATCACTTAAGTTTTCTGGTCCTCCTTTCTGTTTTGTAAAATAGAGATTATCATGTTTATAGCACGAGGTCTTAAGAATTTTTTACAGAGAAGTGTATCTGCTTATCAAGGTACATAGTACAGAGTATATTTGGGAAATTTCTTTTAAAATAAATGAATTAATTAACGCATGAATGATGCTGAAGCCTAATGGCACATGAAAAGAAAGTGTATGAAGATAATGCCCAAGCTGTTTCCATTTACCAAATACCCACACAAAGAAATGAGGAACAAGAGATAATAAATAGTGAAGTATGGTCTTCCATTCTATAAATGTATAGAATAGTAACTTTTAAGCATGAGAGAAAAGAAAAGTCAATACAGACATAAAACAACAACAAAAAAATCTTTAACGAGTCGATCAAGGCATCCACACATCTGTACTTTTTTGTGAAATGGAAATGCAGATACTTCAACAAATGTATACAAGATTTATGACAATGTATGTACCCTCAGCCCTGTGTTGAAAGTCATTGCCCCATAGAAGGATATGAATTATATTGATAACACATTTGAGCTCAGTATTAACAAAATTTAGCATGAAATATTGTTCCTCTTTCATAATAAGAAATAAAATACGCTATGGTTATCAATGCACTGAGTTATTTTGGTGGAATATCACAATGGTTAAATTCCCCATTTGGTCATAAATAAGATGAAAACGGTTTATCACATTCATGCATTTTCTTTTCCCTGACTGTCAGTGTCATGCAATTCAAAATTACTTGAAAGTACTATACAGTTTTACAAACAAGTTACCTATAAGATACGTCTTTAGCATTCTGCCACCCAAATCATTTAACTGTCTGTATTATCTAAATTATGTATACAACCCCAGTACAAGTAAACTGGAGCTGCTACTTGTAGTGGACCACAGATCCTTAATTTTTGTTAATTTTCCCAGAAGATAAATTTCCCACAAAAGGTAAAATTAGGAAATATACTTTTAGTGTTGTAAATTTAACCGAAAGTCAACAAGAAGTACGCACCTACTTCTTTACCAGTGCATACATGGCCTTAAGAATAGCATTAGCATCAAGATACAATAACAAGAGAATCAGAACATAAAAAGATTTTATGTGCAGATGGTGCCATGCTATTTATCACTGAGCCACAAACAATTATCCTGGAAATATTGAGATAAATATGCCCATTTACTAAAAGAGCTAATTGTGAGAGGCATTGGGATAAATCTGAGCTATTTTCCATATCAAAGTTTTCTCTAGGTCAATTGCATCTTCTTTACGATTATAACCAACCCACCAGTGCCAGAATCTTTTTCCTCTTTATCTTTGCTTTTAGGACACTTCATTTTATAGGAATATGTTCATTCTGGGATTGTAGAGGTCCATGTAGATAAACCTGGAAAGTATTACTGTCTAAGGAATTACAGTTACTTGTAGCATTTTCAGAAGGGCAGTTTTCCTCATGCATCTGAATTCTCTCTCCTCTTTATACTTCAGAGCCTAATAAAATCCAGCATGTTTTGGTAGTAGTTTCCAATTAATGAATATTTATGAACAGTGAACATTTGAAAGTGTTGGGATTTTTACCATGCTTGTAATGGGAGGATTTGATACCAGCTTCTTTACATACATACACAGTAAACGTAGTCAGGCAAAGGAGTTTTATGACAAGGGCATAGGCTATAAGACTGCAGGGTAAAGTGGATTGACTAACACAAAAACAGGAAATTGAGTTTAGAAAACACAGATTCAAGTCCCTGTCCTCTCACTAATTAATTGTATGCACGGATAAATTTTTGTCAGTGCCTCTTTTTTGTGAAATGGGATTTAAGATCCTGGAATCAGGCCGGACGCGGTGGCTCACGCCTGTAATCCCAGCACTTTGGGAGGCCGAGGCGGGTGGATCACGAGGTCAGGAAATTGAGACCATCCTGGCTAACACGGTGAAACCCCGTCTCTACTAAAAAATACAAAAAATTAGCCGGGCGTGGTGGCGGGCGCCTGTAGTCCCAGCTACTCGGGAGGCTGAGGCAGGAGAATGGCGTGAACCTGGGAGGCGGAGCTTGCAGTGGGCTGAGATCGTGCCACTGCACTCTAGCCTGGGCGACAGAGCAATACTCTGTCTCAAAAAAAAAAAAAAAGATCGTGGAATCAAATAGTCCCACACATGAAGCATTTTATAAACAGTAAAACATGATAATAAAGGTTAGCTTTGGTTGTCTCCTGCAAATTGGGCAATTAAGCTAATGTCACTGAGGTAAGTTTTAAGCATCTTTCTACCAAATACCTTAGGCTGGAATGAAAATTTCAGTAGGCAAAATTATCATATTGGGAGCCAGAACATACTTAAAAATCATGATGAAAAAAAGCATTTCCATGTTACATTTGCCTACTTGTTAATAAGTTGTATTCTTTTTTGAAAAACCCATGAAAGATAAGACAGGGTAAATACTTGTTTTGAATGCTATAATATTGCTCCTCATGTAAAGTGCAGTGTAGTAATATTACAGTTGGAGCAATTTAGTAGAATGAATGAAGAAAAATGAAATTATTAAGCTAAATGCCATCTTATATAACTAAGGCCACCTATTTAAATGTCAACAAGATTTAGCTTTTTTGATTAGTTACAGCTAGGCAGAGAAGACATTCAAAAACAACTAGCATCATACCAAAATACTTACAAATACTTATAATCATATTTTCTCCTTTAGCTTTACTTAAGCTAGAGATGGTAATAATAAGTATATTTCCTCATGGCTACATATTCAGGACACAGGCATGGGCAAAGTCTTCATGACTAAAACACCAAAAGCAATGGCAACAAAAGCCAAAATTGACAAATGGGATCTAATTAAACTAAAGAGCTTCTGCACAGCAAGAGAAACTATCATCAGAGTGAACAGGCAACCTACAGAATGCGAGATAATTTTTGCAATCTATCCATCTGACAAAGGGCTAATACCCAGAATCTACAAAGAACTTAAACAAATTTACAAGAAAAAACAAACAACCCCATCAAAGAGTAGGCAAACTATGTGAACAGACAGACACTTCTCAAAAGAAGACATTTATGCAGCCAACAGAAATATGAAAAAATGCGTATCATCATCACTGGTCATTAGAGAAATGCAAATCAAAACCACAATGAGATACCATCTCACGCCAGTTAGAATGGCGATCATTAAAAAGTCAGGAAACAACAGATGCTGGAGATGATGTGGAGAAATAGGGATGATTTTACACCGTTGGTGGGTGTATAAATTAGTTCAACCATTGTGGAAGACAGTACGGTGATTCCTCTAGGATCTAGAACTAGAAATACCATTTGTCCCAGCAATCCCATTACTGGGTTTATACCTAAAGGATTAGAAATCATTCTACTATGAAGACACATGCACATGTATGTTTATTGCGGCACTATTCACAATAGCAAAGACTTGGAATCAACCCAAATGTCCATCAGTAATAGACCAGATAAAGAAAATGCGGCACATATACACTATGGAATACTATACAGCCATAAAAAGGATGAGTTCATGTCTTTTGCAGGGACATGGATGAAGCTGGAAAACACTATTCTCAGCAAACTATTACAAGAACAGAAAACCAAACACTGCACGTTCTCATTCATAAGTGGGAGTTGAACAATAAGAACACATGGACATAGAGAGGGGAACATCAAACACCAGGGCCTGTCAGGGGGTGGGGGGCTAGGGGAGGGATAACATTAGGAGAAATACCTAATGTAGGTGATAGGTTGAGGATGCAGCAAACCACTGTGGCTCGTGTATACCTATGTAACAAAACTGCACATTCTGCACATGTACCCCTGAACTTAAAGTATAATTTAAAAAATGTATTAGTAAACCAGCAGAGCCCAAATACTTAGGCATTACTTAAATTTTATTAAATGCTGTCTTCAAAAAAATGAATACATACATACAAAATAAAAGGATAATTATACCAGAAAAACAAATCTGGAAAACCAAAACTACGACCTCACCTAACGAAAGTGTATTCTTGTAACAAGTAAGTGGGTCTCGGCCAATCATAACAGCCAAGCTTTCAGCCAATCACAGGCTGCAAATTGCTCAGACATGTCCAAATAAGGCAAACATCAAGCTATAACCAATCAGGCTATTTATGTTACTTTTCTTTTCCCCCTGTGGATAAATACTACCTGTGCACATTGCTGGGTGGGGCTTTCTAAATACTGGTTCAGGGTAGTGCCTTGTTCATAAACCATTTCTTTGCTCAAATACACTCTACTAAATTTAATTTGTAGTTTTTCCTTTAACACATTTATTGCATTTATCATCCATTTCTTACATAGTAGGCTTTCAAAAATGTTGGCTGTTATTAGTTTTAGAGGAAACCTTGCATATGTATAACTGACTTGTAATTTTTTTAATGGACATTTGGTGTGCTGTAGTTAAAATGGTATTTTTAAGTATCAGGCTATGAGAAAATAATGTTGTACAGGAGTATCACCCTGCTGTTTCTGATTCCAAGTTCTGCCACTATCTTGCAACACTGTTATCAATCTTCCTTCAATCTGTTCATTTTTATCATAAGGTGCTTCATTCAACCAAATATTTCTTTCCTTCACAATGCAGGAGTTTAATGTGGCAGTAGAAGCACTGGGTTAAAAATGTAGATTTTTGGCCGGGCGCGGTGGCTCAAGCCTGTAATCCCAGCACTTTGGGAGGCCGAGGCGGGCGGATCACGAGGTCAGGAGATCGAGACCATCCCGGCTAAAACGGTGAAACCCCGTCTCTACTAAAAATACAAAAAATTAGCTGGGCGTAGTGGCGGGCGCCTGTAGTCCCAGCTACTTGGGAGGCTGAGGCAGGAGAATGGCTTGAACCCGGGAGGCAGAGCTTGCAGTGAGCCGAGATCCCGCCACTGCACTCCAGCCTGGGCGACAGAGCGAGACTCCGTCTCAAAAAAAAAAAAAAAGAAAAAAAAAAAAATGTAGATTTTTGTGCCGTGGTAGGAACAATGTAGATTCTTGGCTTTAGTACTGTCGTAGTCACTGGTTAGCTATGCAGGCAGACAGGAGCTTCATTGTTCCAGGCATCATTTCCTAAACAATTAAAATGAAGCTTTGAACTGATGACCCATGAAGACATTGTATATGTCTAAAATTGCATATTTTAAACTTTTTTCAATTTAAAATAAAATTATGATATTACTAATGTCTGTATAAGATTTTCACACTTTCCAGTGCTATGAAATCCTTGTTCTACTTAAGCAAATAGATCTAGCAAATAAAATGCTTTTTTTTCAGTAATACATTCTATTTGCAGTAGTCTTTTCCCCAAAGAACCTACCTTAAATTAGGCAATTGAAAGGGATTATTTGCCTTCCATTTACGGAATGCTCTTATTTGGTGGTGGGAACTTGATATTTCATTTTCAGTTTTTGGAATCCTAAATGCAATAACTGATTCTGGGGTTGCAGTTTCTATGATCCTTCTCCTTACAAACGTATAAGTGAAACAAAGGGCACAAAGCACATAAAATAAAACTACCTTGTGTCATAGTGTCATATTTAACCTTACTGTATTCTCTGTGTGAATATATTATATATATGTTTACATATAACATGATATTAACTACAGCACACCAAAATGTTCATTAAAAAAATGATGCATTAAGATGCCGAACCCTCTCTGTCACATATTATCAAGAGTCATAATGTCCTGTTTGGCTTTCAGTTGATAATATTGTATTCTGAAAGATCTAGATTGTCAGAAAGAAACGAAGTTGTATTTTCAGATAACCTGAAGTTCTGATGTGAGTGATAGTACCTAAACTACTTAAAGTCTGATGTTACAATTTAAAAATTGGGCAATAATTAATGTCTTCTGAAAAATAAGAATTATCTAAAAAAAAACAGAGTGCGAGGTAACTTTCCATAGCAACAAGGAATTGGGGGTTTCTGGTCAGAAGCAGTAGAAATGGTGACCTTGGAAGGAAAAACTAAAAAGATTATGAGTGACATAACTGCTGCCCATATATGTTGTCACATGAAAATTCTTAGAAAATATCTTAGTAGGTTCAGTGCATCCACTTATTTCACAAACAGTTTAAGAGTCTGTCACATGCCAGGTTGTTTGCTGTGTGTTTAACTCATGTATAATAAAGCATACACAATCATGGGTTGAAGTTCTTAATCGTCTTCCAACATGTTATTGTCAAAGCAGATTTGGTTTTAACCATTTCTATTTTCATCAATATAAATGTATGAACAGATCAATAGGTGAAGGATAGACAAAGACAGTAGATAAAACCTTTGTCAGGGGAAGTTGTAGAATGAATAATAAGGTTTCTTAAAACCTCAGCCCTTAATTTAACATTTTGGAAGGTAGGCAAAATCTTGTCACTACCTTTAAAATGCAGTATTCAATAAAGTATCTCTTTGGTAACCAAACAAATATGTATTGCCACAACTAAAAATCCATTTAGACCTCCATGACTGATTTATACTTTTTGAACTTCTTAACTAAGTATGCTGCTGCTTTAAAAATATACAAAAATATAAATTTAGCAGACATAACAATAAAATCTAACTATTAAAAAAACTGGTAAATGAATTCATTGAACTTTCAGGATACAAAATTAACGTAAACAAATCAGTAGCTCTGCTATACACCAACAGTGACTAAGCTGAGAGTCACATCAAGAACTCAACCCCTTTCACAACAGCTGCAAAAAAAAAAAAAAAAAAGAAAGAATACTTATGAATATACCTAACCAAGGATGTGCAAGACCTCTACTTGCACAAACTACAAAACACTGCTGAAAGAAATCATACACAACACAAACAAAAGAAACACAAACACCATGCTCATGGATGGGTAGAACGAATATTGTGAAAATGACCACACTTCCAAAAGCAATCTGTAAATTCAATGCAATTCCCATCAACATGCCATGATCATTCATCACAGAATTAGAAAAAAGCAATCCTATAACTCATATGGAACCAAAAAAGAGCCCACATAGCCAGACAAAGCAAAAAAAAAAAAAATTTATATATATATATATATATATATCTGGAGGCATCGCATTACCTGACATGAAACTACAGTATAAGGCCATAGTCACCAAAACAGTATGGTACTGGTATAAAAATAAGCACATAGACAAATGGAACAGAATAGAGAACTCAGAAATAAACCCAAATACTTACAGCCAACTGATCTTCGACAAAGTAAACAAAAACATAAAGTGGGTAAAAACACCGTGTTCAACAAATGGTGCTGGGATAATTGGCAAGCCACATGTAGAAGAATGAAATTGGATCCTCATTTCTCACCTTATACAAAACTCAACTCAAGATGGATCAAAGACATAAATCTAAGACCCGAAACCATAAAGATTCTAGAACAAAACATTGGAAAAACCCTTGTATACATTCGCTTCGGCAAAGACTTCATGACCAAGAACTCAAAAGCAAATGGAACAAAAGCAAACATAAATAGATGGGACTGAAATAAACAAAAAAGCTTCTGCATAGTAAAAAAAAAAAAAAAAAATCAGCAGAGTTAACAGACAACCCATAGAGTGGGAGAAAATCTTCACAATTTATACATCCAACAAAGGACTAATATCCAAAATCTACTAGGAAATCAAACAAACCAGCAAGAAAAAAAAATCCCATCAAAAAGTGGGCTAAGCATGTGAATAGACAATTCTCAAAAGAAGATATACAAATGGCTAAGAAGCACATAGAAAAATGTTCAACAT
The DNA here is from genome assembly GCF_000001405.40 of Homo sapiens. Classification (NCBI taxonomy): domain Eukaryota; kingdom Metazoa; phylum Chordata; class Mammalia; order Primates; family Hominidae; genus Homo; species Homo sapiens. The sequence continues at coordinate 51,865,481 of NC_000002.12, read as the reverse complement.
CATTAATTATCAGGGAAATGCAAATCCAAATCACAGTGTGATACCACCTCACTTCTACAAGAAAGGCCATAATCAAAAAATTAAAAAAAAATAGATGTTGGTGTGGACGAGGTGAAAAGGAACACTTTTACACTGTTGGAGGGAATGTAAACTAGTACAACCACTGTGGAAAAGAGTGTGGAGATTCCTTAAAGAACTATAAGTAGATCTACCATTTCATCCAGTAATCCCACTACTAGGTATCTACGCAGATGAAAAGAAGTCATTATACAAAAAAGATACTTGCACACACATGTTTATAACAGCACAATTTGCAATTGCAAAAGTATGAAACCAGCTCAAATGCCCATCAATCAACGAGAGGATGAAGAAAATGTGGTGCATATATACATACACACACATATATAAATATCATGGAATACTACTCAGTCATAAAAAGGAGTGAAATAATGTCATTTACAGGAACCTGGGTAAAACTGGAGACTACTATTCTAAGTGAAGTAATTCAGAAATAAAAAACAAGCATTGTAGGTTTTCATTCATATGTGGAAGCTAAGCTATGACGACTCAAAGGCATAAGAATGATACATTGGACTTTGGGGACTCGGGGAAAAAGGGTGAGTGGTGGGAAAGGATACAAGACTACACATTGGGTACAGTGTACACTAAAAAACTTATTCATGTAACCAAAAACCACCTGTTCCCCAAAGACCTATTGAAGTAAAAAAAAAAAAAAGAAAAAAAAACTAATCATAAAAATAATTTCTTACTACATCATCATGTAGTGAACATTCCTAATATAAGGTGGGGGTGGGGGTAATCAAAAACATTTTTTAAGGAGTTTTCTTGTTAAAATGTAAATATAGGAATGAAAACAATAGTGAAAATATTTTTTGATATCTTATTTTACTTTACAATTTACATCCAGAATGTTCTCATAATCTTAGCTATATTTTGAGAATACCTGCAAATAGTCTTATCACATACCTAGTCCCTTGAAAATATTTATTAGGTGGCTTTTTATTTTTAGCATTATAAATAATGGTCAGATGAACATGATTTTGTATGTATATTTGTACATATCAAATAGTTTTTAAGATAATTCTTGAAAATGAAATTATCATTTCAAAGGCTATAAATATTAAAATGTGGAAATGTATATTGCCTGATTTTCCTTGAGAACAACTGTACTTCTTTATGTTTTTTTGTCACCCAGGCTGGAGTGCAGTGGTGTAATCTTGGCTCTCTGCAACTTCCACTTCCCGGGTTCAAGCGATTCTCCTGCCTCAGCCTCCTTGGTAGCTGGGATTACAGCCATGTGCCACCACACCCAGCTAATTTTTGTATTTTTAGTAGAGACGAGATTTCACCATGTTGGTCAGGCTGGTCTTGAACTCCTGACCCCGTGATCTGCCCGCCTTGGCCTCCCAAAGTGCTGGGATTACAGGCATGAGCCACCGCACCTGGCCTACTATTTTCTTGAAATAAAGATTTAATCAATCCTAGAAGCTTCTTACCTGTGTATATATATTTTCACATTTCTAACAATGTATGACATTATAATATTTAAAAACTTTTCCTATTTGCTAGAGTATTCTACAGTTTCTTATTACTTAATCTTTCACTTATTTACTTTTTTGAGGGTTAATTCTTGTTCTAAAACATAAGGATACATTTATTTTTGACATCTATAATGATAATAAGATATCTTGCAGAGTAGCATTAAACTTAACTATGATGCAGTTTATCAGTTTGATCTCTCTTTTCTAATTGTTTCACACACTTTTGAAGATTACTTGGCAACTGGTAGTTTATCAACAAATATTAATTTAACAAGGAATGAATAAATTAATTAATATTGATTACTTAAGGTGAGTATGAGTATATAGTTTTGGGTCTTAATTCTGAAATACAAAATGTTTACTTTCATCCGTGGTTTTAATCTTGAGATTCAGCAATCACTGAGGTGTTTGATGTAAAGTGTTTGCAATAAATACTGAAACCTCTTACTGTTTCTACAAATTAGACCAATGTCAATTAGCTTAGCATGAGTGTGTTCTTTGCAATTATTTGCAGTATATTTTGTATCCTTTTAAAAACTGATATGGGCCATGAGAAAGTAGCTCTATCAGACTGACTCCTCCATCCCGGGCAATTACGAAAGCTAGACCAAACCAAACTTTTGTTACCATCAGAAAGCACTAGTAATTAATACAAACGAAGCACACAAGAGGAGATTAATATTCACATTGAATTTCTCTTTAACTGCATCTTTAAATACATTTTTCATAGAAAGTGGAAGTTTATTGGTCAAAGGAAATACAGAGTTCTGGCTTTACAATGCAGCTGGAACTTGATATGCAGGACAGAGTAGCAGAGAAAAATTCTCTAAAAACCTGTATAAAAAATTCTCTCCCAACCTTGACTGACTCCTAAGCTTCACACACATAGAACAGACAGCTAGAAGACCTAGCAAAGAAGAGAGGTTGCACAAGACATGGTATATGTTAGAATCCAGGGCCAGTAGAATTTCCATGCAATACAAAAGACAATGGGTATTCAGTTGTGACCTCTAAATGATTGTGCCTTAAATGTAAAGGCAAAACTAAATAGAACCACTCTAACATAGCCTAAAGTAAAGCATCAATAGAATCAAAATGAAACCCTCATATTTCAATTTTAAAATAAAACAAAGCAAAACCCTACAAACCAAAATAGAAACTCAACAATCTTTACAGGAATATGATAATGCAAAGTCTCCACAAGCACACTATATCACAAAAAAAAGTGTAAAGAAAAGTAAGAAAAATATTTAAAATATGAGAAAAATAATACCATACAGCCAAAATATCTAACCTACTTATAAGTGGAGTTTAATAATGGGATAAGAGAGAGAATAGGCCAGAAACCACATTTTTAAAATATTGACTAAATAATATCTAATTTGATGAAAGACATGACTTTGTGGATTTGAGAAGTTCAGCAAATGTCAGCTGATCTAAATCCAAACAGTCTATCCCTGCGTCAAATTACTAAAGTCATTAGATTAGAAGTAAATATCCAGAATTCAATTTTATTTCTATATATCAGGAAAAAGTTAAAAATCCTTCGCAGATATCCTGCAGATAAGGGGGGATTACTGTATAAATATATATTCACATGATTTATAAAATAGGGGTCACATTAGCTGAATATTTTAAAAATAATCTTTGACGTAAATACTGCTGGAACAATCAGATAACCTTATAGAAAACCAAATAATTTTTGACTCATTCCTTATGCCATATGTAAAAATTAATCTGAAATGGAAAATAGATCTACAGGTCTATGGAAGGTAAAACAATAAATCTTCAAGAATATATAGGAAAATAATCCCGTGAACTTGGGTGAACAAATATTTGTTAAATAGAGCAGAAATATGCTCATTCCAAAATCAAAATATTGATAAATTGGACTTCTTTGAAATCAAGATCTTTTGTTCATTGAAATAGGTAAGTCCAAAAAAAAACTGGAAGAAGATACATAAAACAAGTATATCTAACAAAGAATACATATCTAGGTTATAAATGAATCCTACAAATTCATAATTAAATGACCAAAGACACACTTCAAAAACTGGGAAACTTGAACAAGAAGAAGGTAGATAGCTAAATGGCCAATAAGCTATAAAATATGCTCAATATCATTATGCATCAAGAAAACACAAAGTAAAATCTCAATGATTTATCAACTTACTCCAAGAGAAAAACAAAAACTAAAATTAAGAAGACAGACAATGTCAATTCTTGGTGAGAAAGTGAAGAAACCAAAACTCTCATGTAGTGTTAGTAGAAATATAAACTACTTCAATTACTGTGAGTAACTCTTGACAACGTCTATTAAGCCTAGGCACACTTCTACCTTATGACCCAACAATGCCATGTTTAGGTATACATCACAAAAACATAATTGACTACATTAGCCGACAGTATGTATAAAAATATTTCTACTGACCTCATTCATGGTAGCATAAAACTGGGAGCAACTCAAACATCTACAAAAAAGAGAATGGATGAATTTTAGTGCATTTATAAAATCAACAAAAAGTATTCCTGAAAAATGCAAAATCATAGATAATTCTCACAGATAATATGTTGAATGAAAGAAGACAGACACACAAGTTATTATAATATGATTTAATTCATATGATGTTTGAGACTAGACAAAATTTAATCTTTAGTTTTCAAAAGCAGAATTATTATCTCTGAGAAAGATTATAAGAGAACCTTCTGTTATCCAACATAGTACTGGAAGTCCTAGCTAGAACAATTAAACAGGAGAAAGATATAAAGGGCATCTAAATTGGAAAGGAAGAAGTCAAATTATTCCTGTTTGCTGATGATATGATGTTATATTTGGAGAAACCTAAAGACTCAAAAAGAAAACTACTAGAACTGATAAACAAATTTAATAAAGTTACAGGACACAAAATTAACATACAAAAATCAGTAGCATTTCTATATGTCAACAGTGAACAATGTGAAAAAGAAATTTAAAAAGTAATCCCATTTACAATTGCCACAGGTAAAATTAAACACATAGGAGTTGACTTAATCAAAGACATGAAAGATCTCTATAAACTATAAAACACTGATGAAGGAAATTGAAGAGGACACCAGAATATGGGAACATATTTCATGTTCACGAATTGGAAGCATCAATATTGTTAAAATGTCCATATTACCCAAAGCAACCTACAGATTCTATGCAATCCCTGACAAAATATCAAAGACAATCTTCACAGAAATAAAAAAAAAATTCTAAAATATATATGGAACAACAAAAGGCCCAGAATAGACAGAGCTATCCTAAGCAAAAGGAACAAAACTGGAGGAATCACATTAGCTGACTTCAAATTATACTACAGACATATAGTAACCAAAACAGCATGGTACTGGCATAAACACAGACACATAGACTAATGGAACAGAATAGAGAACCCAGAAATAAATCAACACACCTACAGGAAACTCGTTTTTGACAAAGGTGCCAAGAACATACACTGGTAAAAAGACAGTATCTTCAATAAATGCTGCTGGGAAAACTGGATAGTCATATGCCAATGAATGAAACTACATCCCTACCTCTCCTCATACACAAAAATCAAATCTAAATGGATTAAACACTTGTTAAGACCTCAAACCATGAAACTACTGCAAGAAAACATTGGGGATAATCTCCAGGACATTGGTCTGGACAAAGACTTCTTGAACAACACCCCACAAGCACAGACAACCAAAGCAAACACGGGCACATGGGATCACATCAAGATAAAAAGCTTCTGCATAGCAAAGAATACAGCCAACAAAGTAAGAGACAACCCACAGAATGGGAAAAAAATATTTGCAAACTACCCATCTGAAAGGGATTAATAACCAGACTATATAAGAAGCTCAAACAACTCAATAGGAAAAAAATCTAATAATCCAATCAAAAAATGGGCAAAAGATTTGAATGGACATTTCTGAAGAGAAGACATGCAAATGACAAACAGGCATATGAAATGGTGCTCAACATCAATGATCATCAGAGACATGGAAATCAAAACTTCAATGAGATATAATCTCACCCCAGTTAAAATGTCTTTTGTCCAAAAGACAAGCAATAAAAATGCTGGAGAGAATGTGGAGAAAAGGGAACCCTCGTACACTGTTGGTGGGAATATAAATTAGTATAACCACTATAGAAAACAGTTTGGAGGTTCCTGAAATAACTGAAAAATGAGCTACCATATGATCTAGCAATCTCACTGCTGGATATAGACCCAAAAGAAAGGAAACCAGTATATCAAAGAGAAATCTGTACTCCTATGTTTGTTGCAGCACTGTTTACAATAAATAGCTAAGATATGAAAGCAACCTAGGTGTCCATTAACAGATGAATAAATAAAGAAAATGTGGTACATAAACACAATGGAGCAGTATTCAGTCATAAAAAGAAAGAGATCTAGTCATTTTCAACAACATGGATGGGAATGACGTCATTGTGTTAAGTGAAATAGGCACAGAAAGACAAACATTGCATGCTCTCATTTATGGGATCTAAAAATCAAATCATGATTTGATTGATTTGATATGAAGGAATTCATGGACATAGAGAGTAGAAGGATGGTTACCAGCAGTTGGGAGGAAGGTGGAGATGGTTAATGGGCACAAAGAGTGGAAAGAATGAATAGGACCTACTATCTGATAGAACAATAGGGTAACTATAGTCAATAATAACTTAATTTTGCATATTTTTAAATAGCTTAAAGAATGTAATTGTATTGTTTGTACCTCAAAGGATAAATGTTTGAGGGTTTGGATACCCCATTCTCCATGATGTGCTTATTTCACACTGCATGCCTGTAACAGAACATCTGATGTACCCCCAAAATATACACACCTACTATGTAAATGTAAAAAAATAAGTTTTAAAGAACCTTCTGGAATGATGTATATTCAATTTAAGGGTGATAGTTACACTGATACATACATCTGCTTCATATTAAGCTGAATAAGGTTGTGCTCTTTACTGAAGTTACAGCAATTTTTTTTAAAGGTTGATCATTAAATGACCTCTAATGCCATATGTTTATTTAGCAGTCAGCTATGCTGTGTTTGTTTGCAAGCTATATGCTATGTTATGTAAAATTCTGGACTGAGTAGATTTGGCTTTTGTTTAACTCTGGTTTTCACCAACTTGATTAGGATGTGCCATAGTAGTGTTTTCTTTTCCTTCTTTTTTCTGCTTCAAATTTGTTGAGCTTTTGAATTCATGGGTTTATACATTTTATTAAATTTGAAAAAAATTTGGCAATTATTTCTTTAAACATTTTTTTTCTGACTCTCTCTCCCTTTATTCTTTAGATCTAATTATACTTGAAATTGTCCCACAAGTTTTTGGTGTTCTATTTTCTTTATGTTTTATTTTGGAGAATTTTCTTTTTTTCCTATGACTTCATGTTTACCACTTTTTCTTTTGAAATACATAATTTAATCTGTTCTTAATATCACGAATATACTTTTAAAAGGTATTGCATTGTTATATCTAAAAGTTCAATTTTTTATTTTTTATCTATTCTATTTCTCTCTTCATCATGTTCCTCTTTTCACTTACTTCTTTGAACTTTTGGAACATATTTATAGTCACTGCTATTATGTCCTCTGCTAACTGCAATGGTGATTTCTAGATTTGTTTACATTTCTTAAATTTTATCTTTATTATTGGTCTTATCCTTCTGCTTCTTTACATGCCTGGTGATTTTCATTGTATGCTGCACATTTTATATTTTTCATTATTTTTTTCTGTATGGTAGTTTTAAAATAATATTGCCCTCTTTGTTCTGGTATGCAATGGAGTTATTGGGGATCAGTTAGAGCCTTTCAAGGTCTGTTCTTATACCTAGTTAAGCTTCTTTTTCTCTAGTGGTCTGTCCTAAAAATTATGAGCACCTCAGTATCCCCAAACACTAACCTCTTTTTTTTCTCCACTCACAGAGATTTCTGAGGTTTGTTTGGCTTTTTCTCTTCTGTTGTTACCTGGAAACTACTTCTACAAACTAAGCTATTGCAATTATAGGAATTATCTCATTTATTTTCCTCCTCTCTGGGATCACAGTTCTGCACTGCCTGCTGTACAATAACTGAAAACCATTGTTTCATATAGTTGTCTGGTTTCTAGGTGATAAAGATGTGAGGGCAAATCAAATACCTGTTAATCCTCCTGGACTGAAGTGGAAGTATACATACATTCACTTTTATAAGCCTATTGAAAGATTACAAAAGACCAAGTGATAGTAAAACTGTTTCCAAGTGACATAGTTGTGTTTTTGTTTTCTCTTAGTTTGCTTCTTTGTTTTTGCCTACATATATAATTTAATAAATATACCTATTACAGAGCAGTGAAATTAACATTTACTGAAATAAGTAAGATTTGCTGATTTAAATTTCTTCACTTTTTTCTTTATTCTTTAGCAGACCTAAAACTAGAAAATCATCACTGTCTGCTAAAATGACTATGGACTTGGCTGATATGAACCTATTGGATTTGAATTTTAACCATTCCACTTACTAACTTTGTAATGTTAAGGAATCCGCATAACTCCCCTGAGACTCAGTTTCTTCAGCTATAAAATGAGGATGAACTCTGAATACTAATTTTGAAATATTCACTGTTTAAAATAATAAATCCATTTTCTGTAACATAATGTCATGCATATAGTTGATACAAAAAAATAGAAATCTGTGTGCTAAAGAACAGCATAGGGCAAAGGACATAACTCACGTAGAAACTGCATGAAATAGAGAAAATAACATAGAACTTATGTGTAGGAGAGCACTAATCAAAAGTCTTTCCTTGGAAAATTTACTTGACTTTTATGAGGCTCATTTTTCTCATTTTTATAATGAAATGGTTTAAGTTGATAATTGTAAAAGTCATTTCTAAAAATGAAATTATGTGATCTGATCTCACTTAATGCCACATCTTAACAAACTGACATAACTGGTCACATACGAAGCTCAATTTTTTGCTATTTTTTTTTTCCTATTATGCACCAGCCAAAAGTAGATTTTTGTGAATTCTTGTTATCATATAAAAAGATTATTGAGTATTGTTTCTTGTTAGAGCAAATCTCTTCTTTTTGGGCCTTACCATGGAAACTGTCTATTAGTTTTTTATCTCCTTGATAATCTGTGAAGCATTTCTTTGTGCATATATATCTTTCTACCTTTTCCAGAGTTTAGAGTCTCTGTTGGAACTTTAGTCAATAAATTTCCCCATTATTTCCAAAATACAAGAACAGAGATTCTAGAGAGTGTCTTTCCAGTGGTTGAAAATAGAAATTATTGAGGCACTAAAACCTTATCTGAAGTGAAAAGATTGTTTTTCACAGCACTTAATGAGAGAAAATTAGAAAGTCACATGGAAGTAGGAAAAAAGTTATTAGAAACAAAGATCATTTACATTTTTTGTTAGTTTAAAATGTGTACACTACTCACACAATGTATATTGTTTTATTATTTTCTGATGATGTCTGTATGTTACTGAAATCTTGGAAGCTAATATAAAAGTGCCTACCTGTAAAGCAAAAAATTTTTAAAATTATTTTAATACTATCTATCATTTTCCAATTATATTATCACTCAGGAGACTGTATCCTGTGTTCCTACAATGCTTCCATCTGACACACACTTTCCTTGCATTCAGTTTCCTCTTCACCAGCCTGGCTAAGTAGGAGGTCAAGATACTGGTTTTAGAAGTCTAATGAGGCTAAAGGAAGAATAGGTTTAATGACTAGTCTAAAGAGCCCAGGGCAATCTCAGAGTCGGTGACCGATGTAAAACTGATATCACAGACCCCTGAGACAGTAAGTGTCATTGCAACAGGGCCAGACAGGACTAAAGCTCTTAGGGCCAAGGTAATGTGTTAAGAAACCAAAGATCACCAAACAGAATTGTGGTAAAAGTGAAGTAAAAAAAATACTGAATCCCAGGACAATCATGCAGGTAATATTTATCAAAGATTTTTAACTTTTTAAATTTGTAATGAAATATTATCATTCCTTTCATTTTAGCTGACATAAGCATAATATAAAATTTTACATAACTATTTTAATATAGAAAACATACCCTTATTTTTAATTCCATTTCAATCTTTTCAGTATCTCCATGAGATGAAGTGAAATGGAGGTGTGAGAGAATCTATTATCACGTCATGTGCATTACCCAGAATATATTAATTAGTAAAACTAAAAGTTATATAACACTTATCAATTGATAATAAAAAGATAACTCAAGAAAAAACAAAAATAATCCAATTTAGAAATACACAAAGGATCTTAATGGATATTTCTTAAAAGAAGATATATATGTCCAATAAGCACATGGACACTCAATATTATTAGTCTTTAGAGAAATGCAAATCAAAACCACATTAAGATATCACTTCATACCCAATAGGATGACTATAATAATATGTATTTTTTAAGACAGGTATCTTAGTCTATTATAGCAGTGTTGTACTGCTATAACAGAATACCTGAGGCTGGGTAATTTAAAAAGAACAGAAATGTATTTCTGGAGGCTGAGAATTTCAAGACTTAAAATTTGACATGATTTTGCAGCGGCTGGTACCAGTTGTTCCTTTCCATGTTTAGTGCTTCCTTCAGGAGCTCTTGTAGGGCAGGCCTGGTGGTGACAAAATCTCTCAGCATTTGCTTGTCTGTAAAGGATTTTATTTCTCCTTCACTTATGAAGCTTAGTTTGGCTGGATATGAAATTCTGGGTTGAAAATTCTTTTCTTTAAGAATGTTGAATATTGGCCCCCACTCTCTTCTGGCTTGTAGGGTTTCTGCAGAGAGATCCGCTGTTACTCTGACGGGCTTCCCTTTGAGGGTAACCCGACCTTTCTCTCTGGCTGCCCTTAACATTTTTTCCTTCATTTCAACTTTGGTGAATCTGACAATTATGTGTCTTGGAGTTGCTCTTCTCGAGGAGTATCTTTGTGGCGTTCTCTGTATTTCCTGAATCTGAACACTGGCCTGCCTTGCTAGATTGGGGAAGTTCTCCTGGATAATATCCTGCAGAGTGTTTTCCAACTTGGTTCCATTCTCCCCATCACTTTCAGGTACACCAATCAGACGTAGATTTGGTCTTTTCACATAGTCCCATATTTCTTGGAGGCTTTGCTCATTTCTTTTTATTCTTTTTTCTCTAAACTTCCCTTCTCGCTTCATTTCATTCATTTCATCTTCCATCGCTGATACCCTTTCTTCCAGTTGATGGCATCGGCTCCTGAGTCTTCTGCATTCTTCACGTACTTCTCGAGCCTTGGTTTTCAGCTCCATCAGCTCCTTTAAGCACTTCTCTCTATTGGTTATTCTAGTTATACATTCTTCTAAATTTTTTTCCAAGTTTTCAACTTCTTTGCCTTTGGTTTGAATGTCCTCCTTAGCTCAGAGTAATTTGATTGTCTGAAGCCTTCTTCTCTCAGCTCGTCAAAGTCATTCTCCGTCCAGCTTTGTTCCGTTGCTGGTGAGGAACTGCGTTCCTTTGGAGGAGGAGAGGCACTCTGCTTTTTAGAGTTTCCAGTTTTTCTGTTCTGTTTTTTACCCATTTTTGTGGTTTTATCTACTTTTGGTCTTTGATGATGGTGATGTACAGATGGGTTTTTGGTGTGGAGGTCCTTTCTGTTTGTTAGTTTTCCTTCTAACAGACAGGACCCTCAGCTGCAGGTCTGTTGGAATACCCTGCCATGTACACGAGGTGTCAGTGTGCCCCTGCTGGGGGGTGCCTCCCAGTTAGGCTGCTTGGGGGTCAGGGGTCAGGGACCCACTTAAGGAGGCAGTCTGCCCTTTCTCAGATCTCCAGCTGCGTGCTGGGAGAACCACTGCTCTCTTCAAAGCTGTCAGACAGGGACATTTAAGTCTGCAGAGGTTACTGCTGTCTGACTACTGGGTACATAATGAAATGAAGGCAGAAATAAAGATGTTCTTTGAAACCAATGAGAACAAAGACACAACATACCAGAATCTCTGGGACACATTCAAAGCAGTGTGTAGAGGGAAATTTATAGCACTAAATGCCCACAAGAGAAAGCAAGAAAGATCCAAAATTGACACCCTAACATCACAATTAAAAGAACTAGAAAAGCAAGAGCAAACACTTTCAAAAGCTAGCAGAAGGCAAGAAATAACTAAAATCAGAGCAGAACTGAAGGAAATAGAGACACAAAAAAACCCTTCAAAAAATTAATGAATCCAGAAGCTGGTTTTTTGAAAGGATCAACAAAATTGATAGACCCCTAGCAAGATTAATAAAGAAAAAAAGAGAGAAGAATCAAATAGACGCAATAAAAAATGATAAAGGGGATATCACCACCGATCCCACAGAAATGCAAACTACCATCAGAGAATACTACAAACACCTCTACGCAAATAAACTAGAAAATCTAGAAGAAACGGATAAATTCCTCGACACATACACTCTCCCAAGACTAAACCAGGAAGAAGTTAAATCTCTGAATAGACCAATAACAGGATCTGAAATTGTGGGAATAATCAATAGCTTACCAACCAAAAAGAGTCGAGGACCAGATGGATTCACAGCCGAATTCTACCAGAGGTACAAGGAGGAACTGGTACCATTCCTTCTGAAACTATTCCAATCAATAGAAAAAGAGGGAATCCGCCCTAACTCATTTTATGAGGCCAGCATCATTCTGATACCAAAGCCAGGCAGAGACACAACCAAAAAAGAGAATTTTAGACCAATATCCTTGATGAACATTGATGCAAAAATCCTCAATAAAATACTGGCAAACCGAATCCAGCAGCACATCAAAAAGCTTATCCACCATGATCAAGTGGGCTTCATCCCTGGGATGCAAGGCTGGTTCAATATACGCAAATCAATAAATGTAATCCAGCATATAAACAGAGCCAAAGACAAAAACCACGTGATTATCTCAATAGATGCAGAAAAGGCCTTTGACAAAATTCAACAATGCTTCATGCTAAAAACTCTCAATAAATTAGGTATTGATGGGACGTATCTCAAAATAATGAGAGCTATCTAGCACAAACCCACAGCCAATATCATACTGAATGGGCAAAAACTGGAAGCATTCCCTTTGAAAACTGGCACAAGACAGGGATGCCCTCTCTCACCACTCCTATTCAACATAGTGTTGGAAGTTCTGGCCAGGGCAATTAGGCAGGAGAAGGAAATAAAGGGTATTCAATTAGGAAAAGAGGAAGTCAAATTGTCCCTGTTTGCAGACGACATGATTGTATATCTAGAAAACCCCATTGTCTCAGCCCAAAATCTCCGTAAGCTGATAAGCAGCTTCAGCAAAGTCTCAGGATACAAAATCAATGTACAAAAATCACAAGCATTCTTATACACCAACAACAGACAAACAGAGAGCCAAATCATGAGTGAACTCCCATTCACATTTGCTTCAAAGAGAATAAAATACCTAGGAATCCAACTTACAAGGGTTGTGAAGCACCTCTTCAAGGAGAACTACAAACCACTGCTCAAGGAAATAAAAGAGGATACAAACAAATGGAAGAACATTCCATGCTCATGGGTAGGAAGAATCAATATCGTGAAAATGGCCATACTGCCCAAGGTAATTTACAGATTCAAGGCCATCCCCATCAAGCTACCAATGCCTTTCTTCACAGAATTGGAAAAAACTACTTTAAAGTTCATATGGAACCAAAAAAGAGCCCGCATCACCAAGTCAATCCTAAGCCAAAAGAACAAAGCTGGAGGCATCACGCTACCTGACTTCAAACTATACTACAAGGCTACAGTAACCAAAACAGCATGGTACTGGTACGAAAACAGAGATATAGACCAATGGAACAGAACAGAGCCCTCAGAAATAACGCCGCATATCTACAACTATCTGATCTTTGACAAACCTGAGAAAAACAAGCAATGGGGAAGGGATTCCCTATTTAATAAATGGTGCTGGGAAAACTGGCTAGCCATACGTAGAAAGCTGAAACTGGATCCCTTCCTTACACCTCATACAAAAATCAATTCAAGATGGATTAAAGACTTAAACGTTAGACCTAAAACCATAAAAATCCTAGAAGAAAACCTAGGCATTACCATTCAGGACATAGGCATGGGCAAGGACTTCATGTCTAAAACACCAAAAGCAATGGCAACAAAAGCCAAAATTGACAAATGGGATCTAATTAAACTAAAGAGCTTCTGCACTGCAAAAGAAACTACCATCAGAGTGAACAGGCAACCTACAGAATGGGAGAAAATTTTCGCAACCTACTCATCTGACAAAGGGCTAATATCCAGAATCTACAATGAACTCAAACAAATTTACAAGAAAAAAACAAACAACCCCATCAAAAAGTGGGCCAAGGACATGAACAGACACTTCTCAAAAGAAGACATTTATGCAGCCAAAAAACACATGAAAAAATGCTCATCGTCACTGGCCATCGGAGAAATGCAAATCAAAACCACAATGAGATACCATCTCATACCAGTTAGAATGGCAATCATTAAAAAGTCAGGAAACAACAGGTGCTGGAGAGGATGTGGAGAAACGGGAACACTTTTCCACTGTTGGTGGGACTGTAAACTAGTTCAACCATTGTGGAAGTCAGTGTGGCCATTCCTCAGGGATCTAGAACTGGAAATACCATTTGACCCAGCCATCCCATTACTGGGTATATACCCAAAGGACTATAAATCATGCTGCTATAAAGACACATGCACACGTATGTTTATTGCAGCACTATTCACAATAGCAAAGACTTGGAACCAACCCAAATGTCCAACAATGATAGACTGGATTAAGAAAATGTGGCACATATACACCATGGGATACTTGGAATACTATGCAGCCGTAAAAAATGATGAGTTCATGTCCTTTGTAGGGACATGGATGAAATTGGAAATCACCATTCTCAGTAAACTATCGCAAGAACAAAAAACCAAACACCGCATATTCTCACTCATAGGTGGGAATTGAACAATGAGATCACATGGACACAGGAAGGGGAATATCACACTCTGGGGACTGTGGTGGGGTGGGGGGAGTGGGGAGGGATAGCATTGGGACATATACCTAATGCTAGATGACGAGTTAGTGGGTGCAGCGCACCAGCATGGCACATGTATACATATGTAACTGACCTGCACAATGTGCACATGTACCCTAAAACTTAAAGTATAATAAAAAAATAAAAAATAAATTTAAAAAAAAAGAAAAAAAAGAAAACCTTGCAACTGCATTTTTTTCTCTTCCCCTCTGAGATATCAACTTTCTCCCAGCCTCTTGCCAATTTTGGAATCCAGGAATGTCTTTCTCAAGGAGCCCCCCCTTTCAAATATAATAATTGAAGAAAATATTGTTTCTACCTCCCAGTCTCTGTGGGAGCGTAGAATCCTAACTTTAATGAAAGACTATTAGTGAACACAGGTGACCTAATCACATTAACCAACCTCCCCTCTAATGTCCATCAGTATGTTTCAATTGACAAACTCTAGCATTTAAAAAACTTCCTATTCTTTGTTTCAGCAGAATTGAGTTCAATCACCCTTCGTGTTATAAGAGTTTGAATAAAGATTCCCTTGCCTTTTAACTTCCTAAGGTGCAATTTTTATTTAACATATATATCTGAGAGAAAAAGAAAGACATTTCCACACAAAAATTTATACATTACATTTCATAGCAGTTTTATTTATAATAGTCAAAAAGTTGAAAGAATCAAAATGTCCATTAAGTGATGAATGGATAAATAGAAAAAGAGAATATGATATAGTCATACAATGTATTTTGCCAAAGAACTAATATGTACAGAAGCATGGCTGATCCTGAAAACATTATGCTAAGCAAAAGAAGGCAGTTACAAAAAGATCACATATTGTATGATTCCATTTACATGACATGTCCTGAATAAAGAGGTTGTCCATTACAGAGAAATAAGATTGTTGGTTATGGTTAGGGGGCTGAGCAACAATGGGGAGGTGACAGCTAATGGACACAGGGTTTCATCTAAGAAGATGGAAATATTTCAAAATTAGTTTATGGCATTGGTTGCTCAACAATGCAAATATAGTAAAAAAAAAACCACATTGAATTGTACATTTTTAATGCATAAATTATACGGCATGTGAATTATATCTAAAAGCTGTTTTTTTAAAAAAAGTTCTTCCCCATAATGACATTCTCTGTCTTATACTGATTTATTTTTTATTATTATCTTACATATCACATATACATTTCCTCATTTGTTTATTGCCTACCTTCCCACCAAATTGAAAGTTGTATATAAAAAGAGTTCTTGTTCATTTATTTGTTTGCTTCATTTCGTATTTCTAAGACTTAAGAGTTTCTGGCACACTGTAGAGTATCTGAATTAACCTAGGTAAAGCAGCAGCACAGACAAGGTTTTATGTGCAGTAGTTTATTTTGGGAAATATTCCTGTGGCACAGGAGTTGGTGGGGTGGGATGAGAAAATGAAAGAGGGAAAAAGAAAAGTCAAGAGCAGGGTGAGTTCTAGGATTGCTCCCTGATGTGGAAAATGCTGCTTAATTGGGACCTTCTTTGGAGATTTATATATGGAGTCTCACAACTTCCCACAAGAAGAACAAAAAGAGGAAGTATTTCTCATCAGCTCTTCTCTCTCATCATACAGGAACTGTCCCATTAGGATGTTCGCAGCATTGAGATTTTTGTAAAACATGCATAAGTGCAAAGTAGGTTTATGCAGGTTTCCCTGCACTGAGTTACAAAAGCCCGGGAGAATAATCCAAGAAAGTAAACGTGGTGAGACAAAGCGCTATTAGTTTACATCTGCATGCATCTGCTTGCCTTAACAATGTCCGGAGTAAAGGTTAGGCAGAGAAGATATGAAGTAAGGCAAAATAAGTGTCCAACACACCAGTGATACTTGATGAATACTCTGGTCCCCTAGTCCCATTTAAAAGAACATGGTCAATAAAACGAGAAGAATCTGACAGCCATCAGGGTACTGGGTCACTACCTCTAGTATTTCCCCTCATTTCTCATTTCTGAATCTTCCTTGTTTTTGCTTTCCTCAGCTCTTCAACATTGGATTATTTTCTGAGGCCTCCTTTTTTTTTGACTGTGTATTCAGGCAAATTAATCTCCTACAAATCTCTAAAAACTCTAAAAAGGTACCTAAAAGTGTCATAAATTGAAGATAATCCAATGCATAACTATAGACCCTGAGAATTTTCACTTATTCTGTTAATGGTGGCTGATAAATCAAACAAAACCAGAAAATTTTTGGTGAGCAAAGGCATATTTTTCATAAGCATTGAAACATTTAGACTGTAGTTAAACTCTACTAATGCATATTGACTACTGAGAATGTAAGTGAAACCTTCCATTTTGCCTTGAGTAACCTAATTCTAATACAAAATAATAAACTCTATTCTACCTCTTAGAAGTTTGCACATTTGTAGGAGTCTAAGTGGGAATGAGTCTTCACCAGCCTCTTTGTCTCTTGACAAGAGTGCTCTCGGATCATGGGCATAAATAACCCACATAGAGAAAGGATCTGGTCTGCTTAGAGGACCCCCTTCTTGGGAAACCTGAAGCTGCATCAGTAACATCTCAATCTATGAACTTTCATTCTAACTACAATGTCATCTGGACCTAATATATGAGTTCTCAATATTTTTTTATTATATTACATGGTATAGACATTTTCCTAAGGTTTGCATTGCAGACAATTTAGCATTGTTCCAGAATGAATAGGTGGTTTTCAAACAGCAGGACTGATTAGTTTATCACAGCTGACCTCTTTGGCAGGGCTGGGGATGGTCAACCCTAGGTCCTGAGCAATACCTTATGATTACACAGACTCATGCTATGGTCTCCTTCAACTGATGAAAACATTCACTAGTTAACACTTTGAAACATTTTTTTCTATGCCTACACACATGTACGACCACATAATATTATAATAGTAGATATATAACTAATAGGCAAATTTCTCCTTTCCATCTAAGTAATGCAACTCAGGACCACATATCTCAGGCATTATCTGTGATTTGTTGAAATTGTATTACTTCTTATAGGTATATTCTACCAGCAAATGTTTTCTGCTAAGTTTTGAAAGTTGTCTAGATTGTAATTGCACCATTTTCCCCTAAAAGGCATATATCCCTCCATTATTACGTATGATACATAAGAGTTCATGCAGTTTCACAGAACATTTTTCATACTGCCATTACTTTGATGTATTTTTCTAAGACAGTTACCATATGGTTGAAATATATTTAAAAGTATAGTGGCCATTTCGCAAATCACATGTGTGACTTTAATCACCTACTACTTTGGGATTTATATAAGAAAGTACATTTTAATCTCAAAAACTTCTTTCTAGAGACTAATACCAGTTTTTATATGCTTCATGTCAAATCCTCATAATCAGTAGATCAAATTATTAGTGCACTACAAGTTCTACTCTTTTTCCAAATTCATGTTGTAATGCCTAATATGAGAAACAATTACATGGGCCATGATGTTTCAAGTTCTGATCTACTCCCCCAGATATAAGGCTCAGGTTAATTATGTATATATAAACAGGGAGTATGTTTGCACCTTAAGGAAAGAAAACTCTGTAAAGTCTCAGGCTTGGGGAACCAATCTGTTTTTCTTCTGACATTTCCAGGCAAACTGTTAGCAACCATCTTCTTCCAAAATTTGGCCAATAGTGTATTAATACATCATGTATTCTCACCTCATTTTAGGTTCCTCTTGTTAGAGAAATAAAATTATTTCACATATAATCACCATGCACTTTTTTTGTATCTGTTTGCTATCTGTGAAGTACTCCATTATCTTTTCATTCATACTATAGTATTTGCCTAATTTGGTACCAGGCCTAATGATTCACTACCCCTTAATAGTTCTGGAATAAGGTGTATGCTTTCAACCCCTTGGAATGATATGATTACACATATCAAACATCAGGACTGACTAGTTACTATGGCATGTAGCCACACATCCACAATATTAGTATTTTTTGGTGTAAGTCAACTTTGTCTATCCCATGTCCTGAATCACTGAGAAGCCCACTATATTCCTACTACTGATATATGTATGATTATTCCTTTAAGAAAGGGCTGGCCCCTTTAATGACCCAGTGGTCCACTCCAGTCATCATGAGTGCTCAAAGGTTATGAGCTAAAAGTGTCTCTATTAGAGTTCACAAGTCCCTGAATCATATTCACTTATGTCATGGAGGTGTCACTTATCTTTGTATCTCCCATAGATCTTCACACAGGGTTAGTTCCAAGTAAACAACCAGCCCTGTCAGCATTACTGAAGTATCACATGATATCTGTTTTGAGCTCATAGCTTGCAGAGTCTCATGGATAATACTCCAGATTTCTTTCTGTCCTGACAGCCAAACCAATTTCCAGAATATTAAAACACACAAAATATTCTTTTTTGTGAGATTTTCAAATGAGGCCCACCTCAAAAATTTAGCCAAAACAGCTAGTGTTTTTGAGGGAAAAAATAAACTCTAATGGGTTTTGAATCCCCTCTCCCAATTCTTCTCAGGCAACCTCTAAGGATTGTATTGGAAATAGGTGTTGTAAAACATCCACCACCTGAAACTGTCATGGGGTGTTTGGTGTGAATGATACATGGTAAGAAAGATTAGGATTAACAGTATATTTGCCAGGTTAGTATGCACAAGGCAGATGGACTTTCTGGTCTACTCAGCATTTTTTCAATCCCAGAAGGCTGAGTGTTCTGCACAACTTGCTGGTTATTAACCTTGCAAGGAAACAGTAGTAAATCTTCCCCTTTACTGTCACCCATTTAGTGTCTGCACAGGTGCATCCAGCAATAAAATGGATGTACATCCTCTGTACCTTCCTTATCATTCATTCAGTTGTGCTTTGGGTCATTGGGTTTGTATGAACAGTACACAGCAGAATCCTCAAGGAAGTGGTTCTAAGTGTCCCCATTCTAAGGCTTTTATTCACTTCAAATCAAGGCAGGTATGATCTTCATTAACGTCTTAACCATGTAACCAGCACATTATCTCCCTGTTCACTCAGACTTAATTTTAAGGTCTTGTACTAGTCTGATCTCACACTGCTATAAATGCTATAAAGATACTATCTGGGACTTCGTAATTTACAAAGAAAGGAGGTTTAATTGACTCACAGTTCCCCATGGCTGGGGAGGCCTCAGAAAATTTACTATCATGGTAGAAGGCCAAGGGGAAGCAAGGCACATCTTACACAGCAGCAGGTGACAAAGAGTGTAGAGGAAACCGCCACCTGATCAGATCTCATGAGAACTCACTCACTATCATGAGAACAGCATGGGGGGAAATGCCCCCATGATCCTGTCACCTCCCACCAGGTTTCTTTCTCAAAACATGGGGATTACAATTCAAGATGATAATAGAGCCAAATCATATCAGGTCCTAATTAAGAATTGTGACTATACGTGAGATTCTAAGAACTTCCCTAATCTACACTTCCAAATAATAGACGCCTTCTCCAGTCCAGGGGCTCCCTGGCATCAGTCTTAAACAAAGCCTGATACATTACTCTTTCAGCTCCTATGAGAGGGAGGACCCTGTGATTCCTGTCCATGTAGCAAAGTGACTGGAAAATGTGTACAGAACTAGGATGAATCTTCAAAGTCAACAGCTGTGATTACCTGTGCTAGATATGTAGGGAGCATGGGGTCTGGATAAGATACTGTGTTTCACTCAAGAAAATAGAAGGAGTATAATTAAGATGGTTAGTTCAGGTATTGGTCAAGGAAGGGATCTTGTTATCAGAAATCAAGAACCACATGTAAGAAATGGGATTCATTTGCCAAATATGTTTTAAAAAGGATGTACAGATATAAACAAAAAAGACACAATGTCATGGGGCAAAAAAGAAGTTAATATAAAAATGGTCAGTATGAAGGAATCTGGACCTTGAACATGGAAGGGTGTTGGAGGCTGGCTGTGATACTGAGTATCTGAAACGGGGGACACACCTGCTGAGTTAAAAAAGCTATGCAGTTCTGACATATTCATTGCTCTGCTCCTGAGTTTTATTGCTTTCTTATTTACATGATAATTTAGCCATTTACACAAATTGTAGAGCTGCTTTCTTTATTTCATATAAAGGGCAGTTGTTTTAACCCAGTGTTCTCAACTGGTAGCATTTTATTTTCACAATTAGAGTAGAGTATGCAACTGGAATTTAGTGGGTAGAGGCTATGGATATTGCTTAACAATGTATAATGCACAGGAAAGCCCCTTACAACAAAAATTACCTATCCCAAAATGTCAATAGTGCTAGAGAAACGCCGTCCTAACAACAATACAATAAATATGCAGATTTGCCCCTCTATAATCTTTGTAGGTATTTTAAAGCAAAAGTAATAAATAGAATAACAGTAGTTCCCATACTTGATAAGATATAAGAACCACATGAAGGTTTTGAGAACCTTGCATTCCAGGACCCTTCCTTAGACCGGCTGAATGAGAATATTGGTGAATATAGCTGTGTATTTTAAAGGCATAAACAGCTGTGTATTTTAAAGGGATAAACAGCTGCTTCTGTTAGCTACCTGCGCTTCAGAATAACAAAGATAATCTCTGCATTCCTAGTGTGGTAGATAAAATGGATTTTGTTTTCTTATTCTGTTTATTCACCTAAAGAGTCTTTATTGATGTGTTCATTAAATTCTGCCTATAAGCATGCATAGACATATAAAATGGAAAAATGAATTCTCCATCAAATTTGTCATCTATACACAGGAATTGAGAAATCAAGATAATGACTGAGATTATTAAAGTAATAGATATCATAGGAATTGTTAACAATCATAGTATGCTGTTACACTATAGTGTTTAGGATTCACACAGTTTCTATTTCCAAGGGGCTCACACTGATTGTCACAAAGAGGAAACAAAGAAAATCTTTTCAACTTCTATTAAAATTCATCATCATGTTTACTGTCTCTGCTATTAGTTTAATTAAAATAATACTCTAACTGTGTGAAAGTAACAAATATCTTTATATTTTTTTGTTAGAACTTTTTTAAAGGAATAAATCCCATTGCTTTTCTCACTGTGATACATGTACTCTATTTGGAAAATAAATCATAAAACACACAAGAATACAAACACAAAAGTGAATGATCACTAAATCACTATCCAGAGTTTAAAACTGCCTCAATTAAAAATGTTCTATAATATTTTATATTTATGTACAGAAATACATTAACAACATTTTATTAATTTAGAAAAGAATTTACACTGCTTCAATGTGGTCATTATAGAGTAGCAGGCATTAACACTACTGCAAAAAATATTATGACAGCTGAGTAATTTAATAACTGTTAATGTAAGTGAATCTGTATTCCAAAAATTTCCAAAAAGGGGAGAGAAAGGCAAAAGACAGGGAGGCAAGAAAGAAGCAAATAAGGAAAGAAGGAAAGATAACCTACCCCCAGATGGCTTTGCTGATGAGTTTCTTCAAATGTTAAAGGGATAAATAATACCAATATTATACACGGTTATCTAAAAAATAAAATGAGAGACTACTTTTTAATCTGTTTGATGGGGCTAGCACAACCCTAATATCAAAAGTCATAAAACAGCAAGATTACAGGTTAAAATCTTTCATTAGCATCTATGGGTAGCAATAAACAAACATGATAAACAAACAAACAAAAACAAACAAAAAAACACATTTACAGGCCCGGAAGGGTGGTTCATGCCTGTAATCCCAGCATTATGGGAGACTTAAGTGGGTGGATCACCTGAGTTTGGGAGTTCAAGACCAGCCTGACCAACATGGAGAAACCTCACCTCTACGAAAAATACAAAATTAGCCGGGCTTGGTGGCACATGCCTGTATTCCCTGCTACTAGGGAGGCTGAGGCAGGAGAATCACTTGAACCCAGGAGGCGGATGTTGTGGTGAGCCAAGATCATGCCATTGCACTCCAGCCCGGGCAATAAGAGTGAAACTCTGTCTCAAAAAATTAAAAAATAAAAATAAAATAAAAATTTTAAAAAATGGGCTTTATTCCAAGAATGCAAGGTTGGTTTAACATTTTGCCAATCAGTAAGAATAAAAATCATTGTCATCTTAATAGAGGCATGAAGTTCATTGATAAATTATGATACTCATTTATTTAAAAACAAAACAATAAAAAACCAAAAAAAAAAAAAACTTTAGCTAGCTAAGAATAGAAACAGGCTTTTATAATCTGAGTTATTTACAAAGAAAGCCTATAACTAACATCACGCTTAATGAGAAATTATTGAATGTTTTTCTCATACCTTGGGCAAATATCAAAGATGTCTACTATTATTGTTCTAATCAACATTTTACTAGAGGTATTAGCCTACAGTCTATGCAATAAATTTTAAAAAAAGAACTAAGAGGTATAAAAAAAATTGACAAGGAAGAAGTGAAACTATTATTTTCAGAATGTCATTATTACTTTAAAATTCTAGAAGAATAAATAAAAATTTAGAATAAGTGAATCAGTAAAGTCAATGCACACAAAATTGATATACAAACATTTTATCTGCATACAATTGCAAATTATATAAAATATTATTATTTAAAATTGCATCAAATCACATAAAATACCTAGGATTTATGAAATTAAATTTGGGAAAGATTTCCACACTGGAAACTCTTAATATATTGCTGAGAAAAATCAGAAAATAATTCAATAAATGCTCATATAGTGACTTGGTATTAACGTTTCTGTTCTCCCTAAATTGATTTAATTATGCTAAACATTCACTTGAATATCAATCAATGTTCAAGAAAAATTTTGGAGATGCAATGACTATAAAATAGACAAAACAGTCTTGCAAAAGACATTTAAAATAGGAAGACTTATACAGCCAAAGTAAAGACATGTTTTAGGGAGTAACATCACTAAGATCATGAAATAGAAAGGTCTGGACTTTCCTTCCACAAAAGACACACTGATTCAACTGCAACACATGGATTAATATTCTTTGTGAAAAGTCTCAAAACTATTTCAGAGGCTCTTACATCCAAGCTAGTACAAAACCAACCACACAGTAAAACTTGTAAGAAAAGCAGAGACATTTTGTGTCCATAATTCCCACCCCTGGTACAGTACTATATGAATCAAAGGGAACTTCCAGCTCCCAATCTTTCCCTGAGGAGTGAAGGCTTCAAACCACACATCTAGCATCCAGATTTTTCTGGGTGCTATCCAAGAAGGTTCCATATTGTCTGTGTTGGAGTGATGTTGGGCCAGATAATAAGCTAGTCCCCTGGGGGTTACAGAGAACAATGTGGTAGTTTGAACAAGTGTGAGAACAATCACCACAGCTTTTCCCTACACCCTTCAGTTCAACATGAAACTAACAGACAAAAACAAACAAACAAACAGAAACAAGAACAGGAACAAACCAACAAACAAAAAAAAGCTCCCAGCTTTTTCCTGGGAGGGAAAAGATTTAACCATATATAAAGTGTTCTAACTCATCTGGGGGCTATCTGGGAAACTGGCTTCTGTCCTATCTCTCTCAGAGTGCTGAGGAAACCTGACGTTATGTAGATAACTGGGGTCCACATAGAACAAGCACACCAGTTTGGACTAGCACAAAGGTCTGAGAGGCTCAGGGAAACTGTGACCTGTTACATTAGTAAAGGTCTTATATTCTACAAGACCAATACATAAAGACTGGGAGAAATAAAAGTTTGTTTTATTTTCCTATTTGCATGAACACCAACAAAAAGAGCCAAGGAAATTTAAGAAACAGGAACACAAAATCGAAACAAACAAACAAACAGACAAAAAAACAAGACAAAACTCCAAAAACAAATCGTAATAAAATGGAGCTGTGTGATTTACTGACAGAGAATTGAAAATAATTGTCATAAAAATGTTCAATGAGCTCGAGAGAGCAATGCATGAACTAAAAGAGAATTTTAACAAAGAGATACAAAACTTTTAAATGAACCAAACAGAAACCTAGGAGTTGAAGAATGTAATAAGTGAACTAAAATTTTTGATAGAGGTGTACAACAGCAGATTAGAGCAAGCAGAAGAAAGGACAGAGAAGATGAAGACAAGTCATTTGAAATTATCCAGTCAGAGGAGGAGTTAAAAAAAAAAGAATGAAAAAGACTAGAGTGCAGATAGGTTAACATTCCTATAAGACATCATCAAGTGGACCAATATATGCATTATATGCGTCTCAGAAGGAGAAAAGAGAAAGAATCAGAAAGCTGATTAAAGCATAATGATTGGCTGGGTGTGGAGGCTCATGCCTGTAATCCCAGCACTTTGGGAGGCTGAGGCAGGTGGATCATTTAAGCCCAGGAGTTTCAGACCAGCCTGGGCAATACAGTGAAACCCCATCTTCGCTAAAAATGCAAAAGATAATAAATAAATAAATAAATAAAATGACTGAAAACTTCTCAAACCTGGGGAAAGAAATAAATATTCAGATCCTGGAAGCCCAAAAGATTTTGAATAAGATAAATGCAAAGAAAAATCCATACTGAGATACAGTATGTGGGTATGTATATATACTCTTACTCTAGGACCCACACCTGGAGTGCAGGCTGATGTGATCATATCTCACTGTAGCCTCAAACTCCCAGGCTCAAGTAATCCTCCCACCTCAGCCTCCCAAGTAGCTAGGACTATATACAGACATGCTCCATCACACCTGGATAAACTATTTTTAAATTTTTTTTATAGCGACCAAGTCTTACTATATTGCCCATGCTAGTTCTAAACTTCAGCGTTCAAGCAATCCTTCTGCCTCAGGCTTTCAATTTGTTAGTATTATAGGCATGAGCCATCATGCTCAGCCCAAGACACATTATAATCAAATTGTTAAAAGTCAAAGGCAAAGTATAAAAGTTGTTGTAAAGATAAATATATAGACAAATGCAGAGTACTGTACTACTGTAATAGCATTGGGGAAATTACTTTTAATTCTAATATAAAAACTAAAAGACAAAAGTATTAAAAATAACTATCACTAAAAATATATTAATAGGTACAGAATATAAATACAGTTGACCCTTGACCAGCATATGGATTAGGGGTGCCAACCCCCCATACACTTGAAAATTTGAATATAAATTTTGACTTGCCAAAGATTAACTACTAGTAGTCTAATGTTTACTGGAAGTCTTACCAAAAACCTATACACATTAACACATACTCCTAAACAACCAACGAATCAAAGAAATCGAAAGATTAAAAAAAAATCTTGAGACAAATGAAAATAAAAATACAACATACCAAAACTTAAGGGATATAGCAAAAGCAGTTCCAAGAAGACAAAATTATAGCAATGAACACCTTTAGCAAAAAAGAAGAAAGATCTCAAATAAACAAGCAAATGTTATACCTCAAGGGACTAGAAAAAAAATCCAAAGTTAGCAGAAGGAAGGAAATAAAGATCAGAGTAGAAATAAATAAAAATGAGATTATAAAAGTAATAAGAAAAAAATCAACAAAACTAACAAGTTTTTGAAAAGATAAACAAAATTGACAAATCTTTAGCTAGACTAAGAAAAAAAGAGAGGACTCAAATAAATAAAATCAAAAAGGAAAGGAGAGACATTACAATCCATGCAACAAAAATAAACAAGACCAAAAGAGACAATTATGAACAATTATAGGCCTCTCAACAATAGAATGAGTAAATACATGGTGTTATATTAAATGTATAATACATTGCTATAAAAAAGAACAGTATACTGATACACACTGCATAGATGAATTTCACAGGCATTATATTGAATAATCAATGTTTATAAAAATAAAAATAAATATTACTCTTTCGATGGTTTACTGTGATCTGACATACAGGTGGCTTCTCTGGGTTCTAGAAATACTCTATTCTCATCTGATATGGTTGTTACACTCTCATAGATACTTGTGCTTACTGAGTTGTAAACATTAAATTAGTGTATTTTACTACATGCAATTTATACCTTAGTAAAACATTAAAAATAAAGATTTTGTAGTATAAATGCCATTTTCTAGTTTGCATAATTCATGGTATCATACTGACATGTATGTATTTCTAATAGTTTACCAATTTAAATAACTGGTAACAAACTTTTGACAGAGATTTTTGTTCCGCATTATTACAAGTGTTGATGTTATTACTGTTTTAAGCCATGCCAAACTTAGCAGCAATTATTTTTATAAAAGTAAATCTGATTGATAATTCTAATTTCATTTCTTAGGTTAGTGGTGAAATTATTTTTTCAACTATTTATTAGCTGGCTATTTGTATATTTTTGTAAAATGACTGTATCCTTCATCCATTTTAATTTTTCACTGATCAATAGGCATTATTACAAATAATAAGTGTTTGTATCTTTGTGTTACAGAGCTTGCTTTCCCAGTTTGTCTTTTATTCCTTGATATTCTCTGGTGTATGTTTTTAACAGTTTTATTGGAATATAATTTATGTACCATGTAATTTACCCATTTAACATGCAAAATTCAACATATTTTTACTATTTATTGTGAGTGAGAAGTGACATTATGTTGTGGTTTTTTGTGGCACTTTTTTACATAAAGAAGTATATATTTGTAGCAACTTCATATATGTTTCTGAAAAGTTAACTTTCTATTTCCAAATACTTCTTGCTATATTCTATAGCAATGATGTATTCTTGCCTAGAATTTCTAATTATATTGATATCTTCAATTGATTGGCTTTTAATGTCTATAACTTTGCCTTGTCTATGATTGTGATGCTAATATTAAAATACTGGTGCTTATGTATTCATTTTTTAGGGGTACTTCTGCTTTCATTTGTTTGCTGTTTCCTTGTCTTCCTTTTAAATCATAAACTATCTAATTTAGTTTATTTTGCATTTCCTTACAACACCATAACTTCCTTTCATTTTCTGTCCCTTTCTTTTGTTTTCTGTTTCCAGTATTGCTTCTTTTATTTTTGGTAATAATTTCTTTTATGGTGTTTCCTTGATTTCTCACCAACCTGATATCCTCCCCTAGATTTTTGAGCTTATCAAACTATCTTTTAGACCTATTATGTTGATTATCATATGTTTGAATAAATTTCATGTAAGAATCTATTAACTTCCAAATAAAAAAGGTTATACAAAAACTAAATCCCCATTAAAAATATATACCATAGTATATATATTACTTATACATAAACTCTGGATTTATACTTCACCTTTACTTTCTATAGATATATTTTCACTTCATTTTCATTGTTTTATAGATTTTGAAAATTTTCTACTTCATTAAATAATTATTATAGTATATATGTTTTAATGGAAATTACTATAATTATGTTTGCAAGGAATAGAACAATTTTATGTTTATCTATACATAGTCCTGCTAATCTTTTAAAATTAAAATTGCTTCATTTAAATAAGAGTATTTGTTTCAGGACTAAACTGACTTGATCATTCAGATGCTTTACTTTCTATTAGATACTAGGTATAAGATGCATACATTCTGAGTGTTTTCATGTATAAATTATCTTTTTGGAAGTTGAATGGGAGTCCACTCATGATTTGGCTCTCTGTTTGTCTTTTAATGATGTATAGGAAGGCTTGAGATTTTTGCACATTGATTTCATATCCTGGGACTTTACTGAAGTTGCTTATCAGCCTAAACAGATTTTGGGCTGAGATGATGGGGTTTTCTAAATATACAATCATATTATCTGCAAACAGAGACAATTTGACTTCCTCTCTTCCTATTTGAATTCGCTTTATTTCTTTTTCTTTCCTAATTGCCCTGGCCAGAACTTCCAATACTTGTTAAATAGGAGTGGTAAGATAGGGCATCCTTGTTTTGTGCCAGTTTTCATAGGGAATGCTTCAGCTTTTGCCCATTCAGTATGATATTGGCTGTGGGTTTGTCATAAATAGCTCTTATTATTTTGATATATATTCCATCAATACCTAGTTTATTGAGAGTTTTTAGGATGAAGGGGTGTTAAATTTTATCAAAGGCCTTTTCTATATCTATTGAGATAATCATGTGGTTTTTCTCATTGGTTCTGTTCATGTGACAGATTACATTTACTGATTTGCATATGTTGAACCAGCCTTGCATCCCAGAGATGAAGCCAACTTGATCATGATGGAAAAGCTTTTTAATGTGCTGCTGGATTCAGTTTACCAGTGTTTTATTAAGTATTTTCGCATCAATGTTCATCATGGATATTGGCCTGAAATTTCCTTTTTTTGTTGTGCCTGTGCCAGGTTTTGGTATTAGGATGATGCTGGCCTCATAATATGAGTTAGGGAGGACTCCCTCTTTTATTGCTTGGAATAGTTTCAGAAGGCATGGTACCAGCTCCTCTTTGTACCTCTGGTAGAATTCGGGTGTGAATCCGTCTGATCCTGGGCGTTTTTTGGTTGGTAGGCTATTAATTACTGACTCAATTTCAGAACTTGTTATTGGTCTATTCAGGGATTCAACTTCTTCCTGGTTTAGTCTTGGGAGGGTGTATGTGTCCAGGAATTTATCCATTTCTTCTAGATTTTCTAGTTTATTTGCGTAGAGGTGTTTATATTATTCTCTGATGGTAGTTTGTATTTCTGTCGGATCACTGGTAATTTCCCCTTTATCGTTTTTCATTGTGTCTATTTGATTCTTCTCTCTTTTCTTCTTTATTAGTCTGGTTAGTGATCTATCTATTTTCTTAATCTTTTCAAAAAACCAGATTGTGGATTCAATGATTTTTTGAAGGGTTTTTTGTGTCTCTATCACCTTCAGCTCTGCTATGATCTCAGTTATTCCTTGTCTTCTGCTAGCTTTTGAATTGGTTTACTCTTGCTTCTCTAGTTCTTTTAATTGTGATGTTAGTGTGTTAATTTTAGATCTTTCCTGCTTTGTCCTAGTCACGACTTTTTGTAAAGCAGTTCTCCCTAAATAATAATCCTTTACCTTTTGAAATCTAAAACAACAGTGAAAAAACCGTGAAAATGTTACTTTATGTATCAAAATTCAAACGTATCTTCTCTCTAAATTTTTGAAGTGTATTTCCCTGAAGTTTTAAGTTAAAAAAAGGAGAAATTTTCTACTTTGCTAATATCAGGTTAGTTTTTTTAACATAAAAATCAGATCTTCATTTCCTGCATATTTTTATTTTATTCTATTTGTACTATTTTTTTATTTTGGAATACCAACCTATCCCTTCTTCATATCTACTCTCTTGTTTATTATCCTATAGAAGGTATTATTTTATTCTTGATTTTCTGTGAAAATTAAAATGCCTTAAATATTTTTGATTTGCAGAATCTATTACTATTGTGATTTGTTTCCTACTTTCTTCACTTCTTTCTCTTTCTTTCTTTTTCTTAACCTGCTTTTGCTTTCAATCCCTATATTTTTATTCTAAAGAATATTAATCATTTATAAAGTAGTTTCTTATACTTATTTCTTATACATAAAAAGTTTTTTTAATAAAGAATGCTTGTACTCACAAGATCTAATATTTATGTTTGAATAGCAATGTCTTTGACAGATATATGCAGCTATATCCATGAGTATGCACCAGTTGAATAAACTTTGGTAGCTTTACCTAAAGGATGGTAAAAATTGAATAAAAAGATTATAAGAAAGGAAACTAAATATTAATATACACCTATTCCATGAATATATGGTTATGGGGGTTGGGGAGAAAATGTACAGAACCATACATTTTATTAAGTATAATAAAACACTATATTTAATTATTTACATGATGAAGTCTTATAGTATGCCATGATAATATAAAAGGTAGGGGAAGTAAATATGTGTAGGTGTGTTCAAACATACTCACTCATATTTCAATAAAGGAAATATGAGAGAATAAACTTAAAACTTAAGAAGAAAGGGTATGAGGAAGAAAGGAATGGAAGGGATGGAGACGAGAGTTAGGCTTCTCTTAATGAACTCTCTTTTAATAAGCTTATGTTATAATGTGGAATTTGGAACTAAATAGTGTTTTATTTAATAATAATAGTCACAAATCATAAAAAACTGAAAAAGAAATTCCTAAAAACTGAAAGGAAACTGAAACAAATGTACTTAAATATGTATATCCATTTGGAGCATAACAGAGAATTATTTCAAGTGATAGTAAAGTACAATCTTTTGACTGCACATTTCTGGTAAGACACATGAAAAGGATTAAAACAATCCCAAGCTGCATTCAGTCATCTTCTAGTTCCCAGTAATAATGATATATATATATATATATATATATATAGAGAGAGAGAGAGAGAGAGATATATATATATATAGATATATAGATATAAATGATTATGTGCATATTTTTGGATAACACAACTAAACAACTAATTATTTTACTTTGTTAGAAAGCAAGATTTTTTTCAGCATAACAACATACATAAGTGTATAGGTTAAAAAAATGTGACCCTGAATATAAATTTGAAATACCAGTATAAACTGATATTTTGTTTCTTCCATTTAATCAATATATATTTTCTAACTCAAAAAACTAAAATTTTTTTTTACAATAAGTACCATTAGAATCCATAATGTGATTTTTAAGACCACTTCCCATTAAGGTAATTACAGTTTCTTAGAGAAACAGCCACTTTCAGGTCTTGTGAACGGCACTGGGTAAGCCTGAGACAAGGCGATGTGACAAAGTACAGAGTGTATCAAATGCTACTGAGGCCGTGCCAAAGGGAAACAGGAGCCCCTGAAAGGGCTTTCACTCATTAGAGTTGAACATCTTATGAGGGCAAGAGGCCAAAACTTTTCAAATATCTAAAAATATGAGTTCATAGTGATACTAAAATATATTTATTATTCAACTACGAAAGTTTCTAAAACATCATATATTTTTTCTCAAAATTAATAAAAGTGGGGAAAAATAAGCATGTAATTATTCTTCCTTTTCTAAACAAACTCAGAATATCCTAATATTTGATAAGGAAAATCATCTTTTTGCTTTTGTCAGATAATTGCGCTAGCAGATGCAAAAGGAATGATGAAATTAGAAAATTACTACTTTGAAACCCCTTTTAAATAATATATTGAGGCTATGATCATCAGTGGATGCTAAAGCCATTAGGCAGAAGGTTAATGGGAAACTTTACAATGGATGGATGAGGTTAAAAACACTTGAACCTACTTCTCAATCTTCTCAGTTATAGGGACAAACAGACATTATGAACCTCCTGATATGGTACAAAAAGGAATATATCACCTTTAAAGAAACATTGCTATCCCTAACAAATGAACACTAATCTAATCAAGCCTCTTGTTTTCTCAGTTAAGAAGATGAGGAAGCAATCACGAAATTCTATAAGTCAAATGACCCGGTTTAAAGTGAGAATTTTGTTTTAAGTTTTAAAAAAATTAAAAAATATGTCAAGTAAACCAGTATGTGAACCTTGTCTGCAACCCAATAAAATGAACTACAAAAATACACTTTGAGATAATTGAACATGGGCTGTATTGGACATTATTGAGGAAATATTACAAATTTGGTGACGTGATAATGGCATTTTGATTATAATTTAAAAGACGCTTATCTGTTCATTATCTATATGGAAATATTTAAGAGTGAAATGATAAACTTGAAATTTGCATTTCAATGCTCTAGCTAAAACAAAAAAGCGGTAGAGAAAATAGGGATAAAACAAGATTGGCTGAATGAGGATAATTCTTGAATCTTAATGGTGGAAACGGGGGCATTTATTATACTATTCATTATTTTTGCCTATCTTTATAATTTCTATTAACAGATTGAAATTGTCAGTTTGTATATTTAGCATTCATTCTTAAGATATCATTTTGGAAATGAAAAACAATTGCCTTTTTGATTTAATAAATTCTGAAGCTGACAATTTTGTTTTCTGTAATGTTTTAGTTCACAGAGAAGTTAATTTATTATTAATAAAGTTTTTTTTAAGGAAATATTGCATCAAGTTTATCTAGGATAAATTTAATAGAAAGCTTAAAAATTTCCCTAGTATATAAATGATTAATGAAGGGGAGAGAGAAAGAGAAAAGAGGGGGAGAGAGAAAGAGAAAATAGAGGGAGAGAAAGAGGAGAGTGAGAGAGAGTTATTATAGACTACTTTTCTTTCATTAAATAATTAGTATATGCTTCTCAGCAGAAAATACTCATTGGGAAATTGCCTTGAAAAGTACATTTAAGAAAATAACAAAACATTTGTAACAGAAATTGAATTACTATTAATCAACATATTTATTTACTTTGGATGAAAGGGTAAATAAAAATTTAAAATGTTTAAAAAAACCACGATAACAGCAGCTCAAGAATTAGCCTTTGTTAATACATCTACAAATATTGTTCTCTGTCTCTATTGACTTCATTACTTCCTTCGGTAACATACTGGTTTTTCTCTGATTTCAGGAACACATTCTACTGTGGAAGAACTTATGTTTTAAGTATACATACGGCAAAGTTAAGTTAACATGTTGAAGATTAAATTATGGACAGTATTACATGGCAATATCATAGAAATATGTATAAATTTGCTTGTGAGAGTATTTTAAGAAACCAAATACACACTGGAGACTAAACATAGAAAATAGTAAAATCAGAGCAAAGGATAGAACACAATTGATTGTTTTTTATGTTTTCTTTAAATACTAGATGACCATCTGAGCAAAGCTATCACTCTTGATACCACGATCATGAAAATGGCTGCACTATGGGTGACCAATTTTGTCTGCCATAACATGGGCTATTAAAGATAAGATATGATTTCCAACTCAAGAATCTAGAAAAGTAAAAAAATCAATAATTTAATAAAATGAATAATAAATGAAAATTATGAATGAACTAGAAATCAAGTAATACAGTTTAATAACAAAAGAAAATTTTTTGAAAATGCTAACTGCTCTCACTTCTTCCAGTGTACCCCTTCCTTTAACTCAAAGTAAACATTGCTATGAGTTTTATCTTATGATTGTGTATGTCAGATGTCCCCATTTTTCTCCTCAAGAACACATAATTTTCTTAGCAAGTTGGAAAATAATCTCATGTCTTGAAGTGGTTATTCCAAAAACTCTGTATTATAATCATCCCTAATGATTTCTATACAATGTTTATGCTTTTTAGTATCAATACTGAATAACTACCACCCTTTGTATATCACATATATATTCCTGAATACATTTCTGTGCTAATTGTAATTCCTTAATCTGAATTACACTACGAAATAGTGTTTAATAATAAAAACTTTTAAGCAACTCTGTGTTGGCTCAAAATCTGTCTCTAATATTTGCTAGCACTGTGAACTTGAAGCTTACTCAAACTTTAGTGGAACCACGGAAAATGAGGATAATAATAGCACCTAACTAAATGAGTTTTATTAGGACTCATTGAGTTAACAAATGAAAAGAACATAAAAGAATACAAGAGCCAAGCATAGTAGCTCATGCTGTAATCCCAGCAACTCAGGAGGCTGAGACAGGACGATGTCTTGAGCCCAGAAATTCGAGGCTGCAGTGAGCTATGGTTATGCCACTGCACTCCAGCCTGGGCGGCAGAGTGAGATTCCCTCTCTAACAAACAAGCAAATAAATAAACAAATACATTAAAAGAAAAAGAATACCTGTGCACAGTAAACACTTTATTTGCCATTGTTGCTATTACACATATACAGGTTTAGTTAAAGCGCTTCATATACAGGTTTAGTTAAAGCGCTTCACTTTAAAAGATCTTATTTTGATCATATGTTTTCTATCAGATTACACAATTTTCACGTGTAGTATCCAAATCTGATTTTTTAATTGTTATCTCAACATACACAGATTATCATGCTCAGGATAAGCCTCTAATAAATGTTTACTGTATGAATGACATAGTCTCTTCTTTTTTTAAAAAAAAAAAACATGTCATTTGTACTCACTTAAAAGTGACAGATTGTCTAGCCATCTTAGATTTGATCTCAACCACTAAACTATGTTTTTGACTAAAAAGTAAAGAGGAATATTTTAATGACATCAATACAATTGCTTGAAGGGAAGTAATACACCTTTAAATTATTTACTATCCAAGGCCACAACACATCTTTGTCTGTCTTAAATCTCATGAAGAATTTCAAGCTAATGGCTTTCATTCCCATTTCTATTCTCTTTTGTGTTTTTATTAAAATGATGTGAAAATTTTATCATTTCTCTGGAGGCCATCAAAAGTGAAGACCATTGAGCTGCTTATATATATTTTGTCTAATTAAATTAAGTAACCAAGTGTATTAATTTTAATTTATTACTTTTTTGGATTAAAATAAATAGTCAAATTTATTTAAAATAGACCACTCTCTATTCTACCATATGGAAAATAATAGGATTTAACAGAACACTCAGCAGCTTTTGCAACTGAGGGGCTCCAGAGTCTTTGCTGGACACGGGACAACAAGCAGCATCTATCTGGCATAACAATTCTTGGATTAGTGATAGAGATTGTTTGAACACATGTGAGACTTTCCTTCTTGTTCCCCCAAAGCATTGAGACTTATCATTACAGGAATCTGAGGTCTTGCGTAAGCAAAAGAGGTATACAAGTCAGAAACATTTACAAAAAATAAAATACTAGACAGGTGTGGTGGACCTTGCTTAAACTCCAAGCTGCTCAGGAGGCTGAGGTGGGAGGATCTTGAGCCCAGGACTTTGAGACTGCAGTGAGCTATGATCACACCGTTGTATTTCTTCAGCTTGACAGATCTTCATCATTCCCTGTTGTATCCATTTCAGGGTCATTCCATAAAAGAAAAGCTCAGGCTTGTTAATGTGATATAAAGTGCATTGCTCACAAAATGTCATTCCTTATATTTACGGATGACTTCAGCAGAGATCTGACTTTGTTTCTGACTTGCATGCCTCTTTTGCTTATGCAAGACCTCCGACTCCTGTGATGAGAAATCTCATTGCTTTTGGGGAGCAATGAGAAAATTCTCACATGTGTTCAAATAATCTCCATCACCATTCTGAGAATTGTTATGCCAGATAGCTGCTGTTTGTTGTCCTGTGTCCAGCTGGAGCAACAGAGTGAGACCCTGAGAAAGAAAGAAAGAAAAGAAGAGAAAAGAAAAGAGAAGAAAAAAGAAAAGAAAAGGAGAAGAGAAGAGGGGAGGGGAAGTGAGGGGAGGGGAGGGGAGGGGAAGGAAGGGAAGGGAAGGGAAAGGAAGAGAAGGGGAGGGAAGGGAAGGGAAGGGAAGGGAAGTGAGGAAGGAAGGAAAGAAGGAAGGATTTGTTTTGTCATTGTTAATATTATCTCATTAATACCTATAAATTACTAAGGACAGAGAAAATTTTTACACTTCAGGCTCCTATCTTTTATTCCATTTAGTACTCTTACTATTCCTTAATCACTTTCTACTAATATTTATTGGAATCAAGAAGCAAAAGTAAATGCTTAATCCAGATGTTTTTAACCATGCTAGACCATATGTGGTCAATGAGTGTCTTTTATTCTCCTCTAATCATACATATTGAAGAATCCTGTCTCCATTTTTAGACAGAATTTTATTGCATTTTTTTAAATGCTATCTGCTTACAAAAATAGTCCTTCATATTTTTATTCTTCAGATGAATATTTCAATACTGCTCACCTACCAAATCTTGGGGATGTATCTTATGGATATCTAGATACCTAAAGGTTTTTTTTTTTTTTTTTGTTGTTGTTGTTGTTGTTGTTGTAAAGACTGGGTCTCACTATGTTGTCTAGAATGGTCTTGAGTTCCTGGCCTCAAGCAATCCTCCCCTCTTTGCCTCCCCAAATGCTGGGATTATGGGTGCATATATGAGCCACTGTACCAAGGTGACTTAAACTTTCTAATGAAATGATTCACAACAGTTACAATTTTATTTCAATATTGGCAAGGCATTGTCCACTGATAATGTACCAAAAGCGCCATAATATGTCATTTTCACGTAGACTGCTGTCAATGGATTTATATAGAAACATAACTACATATTTACATCTATATTTATCTGTCTTCTATCTATTGATAAGTTGATTGAACTATCTATCTAGTGTGTGTGTGTATATGTGTGTAAACTAATTTAATATGACCTAAAACTGCTGGTGATTTTCAGTATGTCTTCTCCAAGAGTAGACGTTTTTAATGTAAGCACTTAGTTTATGACTATTTAAATTCTTAGGGGTTAAATTTACAGTGGTAAGAATCAGAAGAGAAATGCATTGGAATGATTTGAAAATACACATATCAACTTCAAAGATTAAAAGGTGTATACATTTCTTGGCTATAAACTATACACATATATATTTGTATAACCATAATTATACAAATAGATTAACTGATCTGTATATTATCTGTCTTTCTGCCCACTTTGATCAAAATTCCATTTTTGTTCCAATGTGTGATTTCCTGTCTAGAACCAGGTAAATCTATCCGGCAAAAGTGAAAAGATGTCTTATATTAGCAACATTTCTCAACTATTTCTTTATCCCGAAAAACAAAATTGATTTGACAACACCCATGAAAGCATAACGATGGGTTACTGATTTTTATTTTTCACACATTTTTCCTGAAGCTTTCAGATTCAGATTTTATGTGAATCACTCTATATTTATAAAGCACACATTTTTGGTTTCAGTTGCTCTATCAAATTGTTCCAGGTCTTTGCTGAAGTCATCCATGAATATAAGGAGTGACATTTTGCGAGCAACGCACTTTATATCACAGTAACAAGCCTGAGCTTTTCTTTTGTGGAATGACTCTGAAATGGGTACAACAGGAAATGATGAGGCTCTATCAAGGTGAAGGAATACTGTTTTATTAGGTGAAGCAAACCATTTGCTCTGTCAACCTACTTTTTTGCTTCAGTGATAATGGGGCCTTTTAGAAACTCAAATGGTCTCTCACATATCATACCTGATAAATTTCCATTTGTTACATCTACAAAGAGACACAGCAGGATTTTCTTCAGGTGTTTTTTCTTCCTACAGAAGTTTCTAAAATTCACATTCTTCACATAATACGTGGACTGTCTTCCTTGTTGAGGCCGCCGATGTATTTCTTGGTTTCAGTTCAATAAAAAAAATATTTGGTATTTACAAATACAGATGGAGCAATATAATGGATTCTTTTGCATTATCTTTTATGCCCTGGGGTGTGACAGCAGCCACTGTTTTTTGAACCTAATCTCAGTTTTCAGTTTGACTATTGATACCAATTCCTCATCACTAATGACCTTCCTTCCTTCTAATAGTATTATTTGTCATCAGCTGAATATTAATTTATTGGCTTAGTCTTTAATCCTAGTATGCAATTGCCCTTTTTCTCCCTAATGTTTTGGTTTTATAATCATTCATAGCATTTATTCTACATACACCCTGTGCTGCCTTCTGTTCAACAAACAGAAATACCTCGTCTTTTATAAAACCCCATTTTATTTCAAAGTAGGATGAGTGAAGCCTATGTTCTGTAGTCTTGAAATGTTAACTTCTTCTCGTACCAAAAGTTAATGATTCTTTCTTGTGAAGATAAACCACGACTAAAGCTAGTCAAGAAACTGTATGTGAAGTTTACAGTGGTATTTATATTCAAGTGAGTTCAAGTAAGGAGAATAAACCAAACTAGTTCTTGTTACTCTTCATTTTGGGATCCTATACTAATACTGGGTAGTTGAAAGAGTCAACGATTTGGAATATGATCATCCTAATTAAGAATCCTTGCTCCATCATTTTGCCAATCATTATAACTTTTAGTATTACATGTGATAGAATTATATGTATTATGTCAAATACATATACATGATTATACATCTCTAATGTCTATTTGAATTAGGATGGGGGTTTACTTGAAAAGAGTAGTTTGTGCAGTGTCCAGCAGAAAGTAGCTTGTACAATATCTGGCAGAAAATAGAAACTCATTAATAGTTGGGAGAGCCACTAATCATATGTGACTTTTTAGACTTTAAATGTAAATTAATTACAATGAAATGATATTAAAAATCTAGGTGTTTTTTATATTGTTCTTATACCATGTGCTCAGTAGCTACACATAGCTTGTGAATATCACATTGGGTAGTGTAGACATTTATTTTGGATGTTGCTGGAAGATAGGAGAGAACATAGTCTTTGGCATCAGTCAAACCTGATTTCAACCCTCAGCTTCAATATCACTAGCTGGGTGATTGTAACAAGGTCATTTTATTTCATCTATTAAGTGTGACATTGACTTGGAATTTTTTGAATGAATTGATAAGATCCCTATTTAGTGATACCTTGAGTAATCCTGGGATAGCTATGTCATCATAGGGTTATAAGACACTAAGCCACCTGGAGACAAAAATCAGGGAAGATCCAAAGCTATAGCATAAAAATTGAAAAGAATTTTATACTCTCCCTGTGACAAATTTTGCTCTGTCTGCACCTTGTCTTCCTAGTCTTCTCTTTCCAGCCAGTTTATTTTACTGCATGCAAAGGAAAGACTTTTGCCTCTCCTGCTCCAGTTAGAAATCTTCAAGGAATTTCTCTATCTTTGCTGCTATCCTCTGACTGAACTACTCAGTGTGGTTTGAGAGGATAAAGTACAATGAAGATGCAAAGGATCCAGGCTAAGTCAATCTTATGGACCAGAGAAGCTTCACTAGAATAATAAGGTTGCAGTTAACATTTAAATCATTGACAGAGCAATTTTTGAATAGAAGGCAGAGAACATGAGTTCCTCTAACTGATTCAAGAGCCAGGCAAAGGACACAGCAGAACCTACAAGATGTTTGCCTTGCAGGGTATTGTGAGGAGTACTTAAAAGGGGATCAATGAAACACCATTTCAAATACACAGCTCATAGGAAAAACTAATAAATGATTGTTAGTCTTATTTCAATGACAGTTTATAAATTAGCAAAATACGTAGAGAAGCATGAATCATTTCCCTCTTTCTTATCAGGAAGGTCTTGCATAAGTACAGGGCTTACCTGATAAGAGGTATCACCTAACTGTTTTTCTGCAAGGCTTTTCTTCCAGCTTAAACTTTCCTTCAAATCCCTTTCAATAATCCTTTTTGCCAATCAGACTATAACTTACTCAACACTCCTCCTTCAATAATTCTCTGTGTTTCATATGCTTCAGTGATCACCAAATTTTTCCTTCCTCTTCCTTTCTCTTTAGAGCCTTGCATGAATGCCAAGTCCCACAATAGCTGCATTTTCTCATCTGAATTCTTGTAGTAGCTATTGCCTATACCTTATCGTATGGTGTACTTTATTAATTTTAAGATACATGCATATATTAATTAGCTTGACTTAGCCATTCCACAGTGTATATATGTAATTCAAAACATGTTCCACACTATATATACACACACACACACACACACACACGTACACACATATAGAGAGAGATAATTGTTATTTGTAATTAAAAAAATAAATGCTTTGGCTGAGATATAGGCAAACTTGGGATCTTAGTTTTGTTCTTTCTACATTCTATTAAACAAATCAATCTTTAAAAAATACATTTTTTTTGCATTAAATGGCTCTGAATTTAGAGCACGTATTGTAATTGATGATATTTCACAATTTGTGTTGGCTTAGAAAAGCATCCAGTGTACAAAAGTAAAGAACTTCAACTCACAGAAATCAAATGTTTATAGGAAGAGTTGGATGAGATGCTGAATTAGATACAGGAATGCCTCAGATATATTGCAGGTTTGGTTCCAGACCACCACAATTAAGTGAATATTAATAAAGCAATTCATATGAATTGTATGGGTCCACAGGATATATGAAAGTTTTATGTTTACACTATACTATAGTCTACTAAATGTGCAATAACATTATGTCTAAAAAATGTATAGACCTTAATTAAAAATACTTTATTGCCAAAAAATGCTAAGGATCATCTCAGCCTTTAATGAGTCACAATGTTTTTGATGGTATAGGGTCTTGCCTTGGTGCTGGTGGCTACTGATCAGGGTGAAGTCTGCTGAAGGTTGAGGTGGCTGTGGCAATTTCATAAAATAAGAAGAACAAAGTTGCTGCATTGATAGACTCTTCTTAGTAGGTATGAAAACAACATCAATCTCCTTGTACATCTCTATGAGAGCTCTTGGGTGACTAGCTGCGTTGTCAATGAGCAGTCATATTTTCAAACTTTGTTTTCTAAAAGTATTAGTTCTCAACGGTAGGCTTAAATATTCAGTAAAGCATGCTGTAAGCAGACAGGCTGTCATCAAGGCTTTGTTCTTGCATTTATAGAACACAGGCATAGATTTAGCATCGGTCTTAGGGGCCTTAGGATTTTTAGAATGGTAAATGGGCATTGGCTTCAACTTAGAGTCACTAGCTGCATTGCCCCCTGACAAATGAGTCATCCTGTGCTTTGATGCTTTGAAGCCAGGCGTTGACTTCTCTCTACATCTTCTGGAAAACTTGCTGCAACTTCTACATCAGCATTTGCTGCTTCACCTTGCACTTTCATGTTATGGAGATGGCTTTTTTCTTAAATTTCATGACGCAACCTCTTCTAGCATTAAACTTTTCTTCTGCAGCTTCCTCACCTCTCCTATCTTTGCTAGAATTAAAGAGAGCTAGAGACTTGCTCTGGCTTAGGCTTTGGCTTAAAGAAATATTATGGCTGATTTGATCTTTGATCCAGACCACTAAAACTTTCTCTATTATCAGCAGTCAGGCTGTTTCCTTTCTTATAATTCACATGTCCACTGGAGTAGTATTTTTAATTTCTCTCAGGAACTTTTCCCATGCATTCACAACTTGGCTAACTAGTGCAGGAGGCCTAGCTTTTGGCCTGTCTTGGCTTTTGACAAGCCTTCCTCACTAAGCTTAATCATTTCTAGCTTTTGGTTTAAAGTAAGAGTCGTGCAACTCTTTTTTCACTTTAATGCTTAAAAGCCATTTTAGAGTTATTAACTGGCCTAACTTCAATATTATTCTGACTTAGGGAACAGGGTGGCCCAAGGGCAGGGAGAGAGAAGAGAAAACAGCCATTTGGTGGGGCAATCAAAACATATACAATATCTATCTATTAAGTTCACTGGCTCATATGGGCAAGGTTCATGGTACCCTGAACAATTACAAAAGTACCATCAAAGATTACTAATCACAGATCACCGTAATAGCCGTAACAGTAAAAATGTTTAATATATTGTGAGAATTACCAAAATGTGACATGGAGACATAAAGTGAGCATGTGCATTTGAAAAATGGGTGCTAATAGACTTGCTTGAGGCAGGGTTGAAACAAGCCTTCAAATTGTAAAAAACACACTATCTGTGATGTATGCCTCTATTTCTCCAATTGAATAAATAATAGTAAATAGAAAGTATATTTTATAATTGTTTTAAACATTTATTTATTTAACATCCATGATTTTACCAATTTCCCCTATTATCAATAATCTTTATTGAACAATTTTAATAAATGGAATTTTCAATTTGGAACTTGCAAATATGTGAAAAGATAATTTCATGAGAATAGAATCCCCCAAATAATAATAGGAATGCATTTTGGGGCTCCTGATAAATATTGCCAAGTTGTTCTTCAAAGTAGCCTTACCAATTTCACCAAAAATGCATTTGTATTTCCTAGATAGGTGTTTTGCGATGACTTAATTATTCTATAGTCAGAGAATATCCATCGGTGTGTCAAGTCTTTGAGATTCAAAGTCCTTCGATTTTTCCATTTTCCATCGCTGGTTGAATTAAATAAACAGAACTTGACTTCGTCCAGAAAGCTTCTATTTTCAGTCATCAGTTAGCAGACTCTTGATTATATATCTGAACATCTTGGTGTCTACGGGAGAAGTCCTTGATTTGGGCCTGCTTCTTGTTCCTCACCTAACTTCAACAGTTTAATATTGAGCTAGATTTAGCATAGTTTATGTGTACATATGTAGAAGTCTGTGGCAGAACTTTTGAAACAAAAACTCTGTCAAAGGCACTAATAGATTCGCTAGACTGGTTCCATCCTATACAAAGTGTAGTTCAAGGACATCACCTGAGAGCTTGTTAAAAAAGTAGACTCTCAGGTCCTAATCCTACTACCAAGACCTACTGTGATAGAAATTGCATTTTAAGATTTCCCTTTGATTCACATGCACATCAACATTTGAGAATCACTGGTGTAGGCGATTATGAAGTCACAGTGAGAAATACTGCTCTTTGCCCTTCGTTGTTTAACAATTGCTATCATTTCTGCAGGAGACAATCAAACCATGTACAGAAAGAGGAATCTCCTTTCCTTCTGTGTATCTCTGCTTTATATGTGAAATTCTTTTCTAAGCTTATTGTGTCATGTGTGACATTCTTATAGTTTGACCTTGAAAAACTTTCTGCCTCAGCCAACACTTTTAAAAATCTATTTGTCTTCCTTTACTATTCCAGATCATTAGCTTTCTAATGTTAGTGGCATTACAAAATTTGACTATTGTTTTCCATACAGACTACACAGAGATTTCCAGTCATCTACCCAGATTTTTTCATTTTTATTTTGTATTTTTATGAGGACTTAGTGGCAAAATACATGAAACAAATGGTTTTACCGTTTTAAGTTGTACATGTACCATAAAGATAATACTCAGCGCAAATTCACTCATGTTTGATCTCTGGGGAATAATGTGTTAAATTCCATTCATTCGTTCAACAAATATTTAATGAGCATCTAAAATTTGAGAGATGTAAGTGCTAAGAATTTCACAGTGAACAAGAGGAAAAAAGTCCTTATTCTTAGAAGGCTTACTGAGTAAACAGAGGATAAATGATGGGCAGGCAAAGAAGTAACCACAACAATTTCAGATATTGAATATTACTCTGAAAAAAGTAAAGAGGACAATAAGCTGGAAAGCAGGAAGGTTAGTAAGAGAGCTGAGGCCCCCGTTTCTCTCTGGAGCAATGCTAGTTTACGTGTAGCAAATCTTAGCTTTTGTTAGTACCCTGGTGTCGATTTGGAATTCCTTTGTGTAGCTATTTATGCTGCTATTTCCGCTGAGTGTCAGTTTCACTCGATCAAAGCCCAGGATTAAAATAATAGGGTTTTGTAAGGAAATCCTTGCAAGATCCAGGGTATAACATACAGTGATAGAGCCAGGCGCGGTGGCTCACGCCTGTAATCCCAGCACTTTGGGAGGCCGAGGCGGGCGGATCACGAGGTCAGGAGATCGAGACCATTCTGGCTAACACAGTCAAACCCCGCCTCTACTAAAAATACAAAAACAAAATTAGCCAGATGTGGTGGCGGGCGCCTGTAATCCCAGCTACTCGGGAGACTGAGGCAGGAGAATGGCATGAACCCGGGAGGTGGAGCTTGGCTGAAGCAGGAGAATGTTGTGAACCCGGGAGGTGGAGCTTGCAGTGAGCCGAGATCGCACCATTGCACTACAGCCTGGGTGACAGAGCGAGACTCTGTCTCAAAAAAAAAAAAAGAAAAAAGAAAAAAAAAAGATACAGTGATAGTAAGGAAAAGAGAAAGAAAAACCTGGCTGCTCTGTAAAACATGAATAAGGTCATATTCTAAACCTTAGATTTTCCACATTATTTTAATATAGGTTGTTTATATTCTTGTTTAGAATGAAATTGGTCATGTGAAATTGAAGCACAGAGAAGTTTGGTAACTTGCTCTGGCTTACATATTTTCTCAGTAAATAAATAAGCATATAAAACACAGACTATAATTCAGGTATTTGTAACTCTCCAGTGCAAACCATTTCATCCTACCTTTTCGTGTTTTAACTACAAAGAAAACAAGTAGAGAGCTGGACAAGGCC
This sequence comes from Homo sapiens, assembly GCF_000001405.40. Classification (NCBI taxonomy): domain Eukaryota; kingdom Metazoa; phylum Chordata; class Mammalia; order Primates; family Hominidae; genus Homo; species Homo sapiens. Next base: position 51,821,207 of record NC_000002.12, on the reverse strand, counting down.
CTATAAACAAAACTTGCTTGGGAGAAGCAATACCTGGAAAGAAGAAAGACAGTGACACAGATAGCACAAACCCAATGGAAACTTTAAGCACTGGGGATGCAAGGCTGAACAAAACATCTAAAAGGGAAGCCCAGAGAATGCAAGGTTGTATGCATGGGGCTTCTTAACTCTTTACCTCTTTACCTGATGAGATAAGAAGCAAGTTCAGAAAAAAGAGTAGACATAGTTACACCACACATTATAGATCACATTCCATATATCAAATACTATGTAGCTATAAAGTATAGATGGCTAACAGAATGAAATAAGGTGAGTTTCTACTGGAATGATATTCTGACTCTTTCATATACAGCCTGTTAATCTATCTGGCCACCTTAAAAAAAAAAAAAACTAAACATATTTAACGTAGATGGTGATTATTACAAACACAATCCTTGCAAATTGCTCTATAAAAGTATTGATAGCTTTCCTTTTCTTCTCTCTCTCTTTTCCACTCTCCCCTTCTTTGGCAATAACAATGGTAATAAAATATACACAAAAGAAGGGTGAGAAAATGATAATGTATAGAAGAAAATTAACCTTTGAAGTAAAATGCAATAAAAATATAAATTAGAAATAAAATTTGGATAGAATTAGATACGTAAATTGAGTAAAATTCAAGAAAGTATAGACTGAATCAAGAGATGAACAACTAGATTCAGTCACAAGAAACCATATGAGACCTGGAAGAAAAAAAAAAATCTAAGGATAAATACACATAAGTTATAAATTTAAAAACTGTAATATAATCAGTTAAAACAGAAGGGTAAATTGTTAACTGAGATAAAAGACAAGAACTCTGAAAATGCAGTTAAAAATATAGAAGCAAATGTGATGATATATGAATAAATATGAAGGACAGAACATATTTGCAACATGTTGATGTTCAATATTGACAATTTACAAAAAAATGACAGAATATCTTTCCTTTGGTTGAAGGAAAATTAGATTTATAGATTGTAAAGACCCCACGTTAAAATTCAAGGAAAAGGAAAAAAATAAGCATAGGCTGATAAAATTATAAATTTTATGAATCCCCCCCAAAATTTCAAAAATTACAAAAGGAGGGAACATTAAACAAAAATGAACAAAAAAACCACAAGCAGTTGCAAATGCAGAAGGATACATAAGTCAGGTTTCTGCTTTCTTTACTGAAATTCTAGATTCTACAACATATTGACAAAAAAAGAGGGGGTTAAGACAGAAATAGGCAAAGATTATAAGACAGTCATGTTTCGCTCAGTCAAGTTATGGGTAATGCAGAAATACACTGGGAAAAAGACAGATTTAAGGAGCAATAAAATACATTTTGAATTTTAGTCCTAGAAGAAAGCAATAAAACTATGATTAAACCTTCAAGAACAAAAATAATTCTAGAACTTTAGACTCAGAAAAATGAAATTAATGGATAGCATTGACCACCGAAACCTGTAAATGGAATTAATTCTAAATACATGAAAATAATATTACAAAATAGAATGCTAGCTTCATTAATAATCATTGAAATAGAGCATGGAAAAAGATGTTAAAATTATTTAATCATGAACCTGGAGGCTTAATAACATACATTTAATTACATTTTTAAAAAAGTAATTGAGAAGGCAAGAGACAGGAGCAAATAAACACAAACTACTTTTCTAAAATCATTTTTATCTCACGTGAAAGATGTTTAATATATATTAATTTTTGATAGTTATGTTTGTAAAACAGACATTGTCCTGTTTTAAGTAATGTATCCTTTCTAGTTTTTAGAAAATGTTATGGAAAATATTTCAAAACATAGTTCATTTAGAAAAAAATGTAAATTTACAGAAAAGAAAAAAGAAGTTAGTGATTTTACCCAGAAGGTAGCCTAACACATCTTGAAAATTCTCTCAGTACAAATATGTAACTATTTTGGATAAAATAAACATAAAATATTGTAAATAACTGGCTTAGCTTAAAAATATGAGCATTTACAAGTGATACATAAAAGTTTCTGTGTACTCACAGCAGCTTTATTTATAATGGACCAAAGCTGGAAACAATCCAAATGTCTATCAACAGGTGAATAGACAGTCTGACTGTGGAATGTTCACATAGTGGAATATTACTCAGCAATTAAAAAAAAAAAAAAGAACTACTGATCCATGGACCATGATGAAAGAATTTCCAAAATAGTATATCGATTGAGCAAAAACAGGAATAAAATAATATATGTATGATTCCATTTACAGAAAGTCATAGAACAGACAAAAATTAGCTGTGGTGATAAACATAAAAATATTGATTGCCTAGTGACAGGGAGATAGACTAGAAAGCGAAACGAGAAAACTTAAGGTAATAAAATGGTTACATATCTTAGTTGGGGTATTGGTTATGCTCCTTTAAAATATATATACTAAAATATGTGCATTGTATTCTGTGTAAATATTAACTCAATAATTCCCTGGGTGATGTGATTCTAATGTGTATCTAGCATGAAATAAAATAAGACTTATCTCCTACTCTACAAAACAGCAATTTTAAAATTTCTGCACAGAAATTTCTTTTCATTCCTCCCACACATTCTATCATTTGATGAGCTTGACTCCTATTTTATCCTAAAGAAAAAGTATATACCATCAGTCAAAATTTTATCAACTATACTATAATCAATACTGCAATTTAATATATCTAAATCCTCACTATCCAAATTTCTGTTCCTTCTATTCTCTAAAATGTATGCATTCAAATATGATATTCTTTCTCTTTTGCCCTTTACAGTAAACTTATATTTGTGATTATACCTTTTCTTTCTTCCATATTTAATCTCATCCTTTTATATTTTGCCCTTTTTTAAATAACAAAAGCTAAAAAAATTATTTTAGACTTCTCATTCATCTTTTGCTATAGTCCCACCTAACTCTTTCCCTTTATATGTAAGTCTCTGTTTCTATTTCCTCACATTTTGTCAATTTTAAGCCCAATTGTTCTACCAGAACAATTATCAATAAGGTCACCCCTTCAACTTCATATCGCTAAGTATAATGATATTTTTAAAATTTATCTTTAAATTTATATTGGCAAAAGTTTCTGACACCGATGACTATTTGTTCCATCATAAAGTCCTCTCATTCCTTGATTTTTTAAGGCATATAAGTTATGTGTGTTCCCTTCTTTCTTTTCCTGTTTCTTCTTTTGGGCTTAGTCATCTCCAGCAGCCACATAAATATTTAAATTTTTAAAGGTATATTCTAGGTCCTTTCTTTTATCTACCTTCTACTTTCCCCCTAACTAATTTTGTCTATTCCATGACTAGGTTTTGATGTACTATGTTACTCAATCCCAAAAGAAAAAAAAAAAAAAAAAGACCAGACTTAAGATGGCAAAAAAAGGAGCAATAAAAAAAAAAAAGGGCTATAATAATTTAGGATTCTGAGACTGGGCAACAGTGGGCTAGAAAAAAAAGGGAGGCAAAAAATTGGCAAACACTTGAGTGGTACCTGGTCAGTGTTGTGCCTATGGGGGTTGTAAATTTCAACTTGTCTTAAAAGGACAGGTTAGTTTAATTTCATGCAAGGTATCACCTTCAAATTGAGATTTATTTTTTGATGGTACAGTTAAAATAAATTTCCACCACTTTAATAAAGTTATACTTGGTGACTTGTGATAGTTGAAATAATAGTAACAATACAATACTGAGCTTGAGCTGTTAAATATTTAATATTTAATATTGAGCTAGTAAAACACCTCTGAGGTTAGGGTCAAATTTTGTCAGTTTTGTCAACTGCTTCTTGTCTACCTGCACGACTAAGTATCAGTCAGTACTCACATACTGAACTTCTTTATAAGCATTCTGGTTCACTTCCTGCTTTCCAGAGAGATTAGAGTCCATATCAGTGGAAATGACTGAAGCCCAAGAAGTAGGTCCACTGTAAGTTTTACACCTTCTGTTCGACAGAGAGTTTGCCTTTTCCTTGTCGGGAATTTCAGCTGCCTGTTATTTTCCTAAAATGCAAATCTAATCATCTGACTCCGCCCCTTATATTTTTAATGGTGCTATCTTGCCTACATGTTGAAATTAAAAATCTACGTGGTAGGTCAAAATTACTTTATAATCTGATCCTTACCTGTATCAATCATGTAGTTCCCATATCTGACCATGTTGCCAAAAATCCATTTCCTCTTGGCCCAGAAAATTTGCGTGTCAGAGTGAAAAACTTATCTATCTAGATATACAAAGTTGGTCATGAATTCAGTACCTCCTCTGTATTCTATACTCTGTTATAATCTGTCTATTTTGTTCCCAGCAGTAATGACTATTCAGACTTCCATTACCAAACACTAATTTTACTTTATTTGATGGTGAGCCATCTAGGGTGTGAATCCTTTTTTGTATCTTCAGAGCTCAGCCCAGTGCCTAGTGCATATTAAAGCTTGTGTGAATACTTAAATAATCGAAAAATAAATGGATGATTGAATAAATGAAAGAAATGGACTTTAGCTCATTTGACCAGCTTACATAAGGTCATATAGCAAACAAACATTAAACATCAAAATGACTCCCATTTAAGAATTAATGCTGTTTTACTAGTATTTTCTAAAATTCATTTACTTATCATATGTTTGTTAATGAGGCATAAATTACAAATTACTGTCACTTAAAATTTCAAAGTAAACCTGTGTGAATTTGGAAGAGAAGGACTGTTATCCTCAACAAGCTTCTCTCATCCCCTGGTGGGCTTATTGCTGCTATCTTTTAACATGCAGTGGAAATGCTAAGCTAGGTTGTTAATGCAGAACATTCAAATGCGGCAAATGCAGTTTGTGTGCCAGTTTTAAGTACTCATATTTTCTTTGAACCAAAATAACAATGAATTTTGGAGAAAAAAAATCTTTTCTCTGAAATACGACATATAATTAGTATAAAAGCAGCATAGTTAAGATTGTTTTCAAAATACCATGTTATATAAAGAAATGGTTCAATATTATACATAACAAAGGTTTAGCACATCGTACACAACCACACACATACACAATAATAAAAAGAAACTCTTGTGTTGGTTAAAAAAAAGATAAATCAAATTAATTTATGATTTGTTTTTCAAATACCACTTTCTCATCTGTTCTAAGTCAACGTAATTCTATATAATAGATATTACATGTTTCTAAGAGTTCATTTTTGTTAACAACTTAGTAAATGATAGTTTAGTTATACCTTTATTCAATAAATATTTGTCAAGAGAGAAAGGCATTAGTGTCCAATGGTTAAATGGCAGATCCTGTATCTTTTTCATGCAATTTACAATCTAGCATTAACTGAGACACTGGAAAAACTGAGTATGCACGTATGCCTTCTTCCTTAGCTTAGCTTATCATACATTATGTTTCTAAAAGTAAATAAGGTGGCCGGGTGTGGTGGCTCATGCCTGCAATCCCAGCGCTTTGGGAGGCTGAGGCGGACAGATCACAAGGTCAAGAGATCGAGACTATCCTGGCCAACATGGTGAAACACACTCTCTACTGAAAATAAAAAAAATTATTTGGGCATCATGGCACGCACCTGTTGTCCTAGCTACTTGGGAGGCTGAGGCAGGAGAATTGCTTGAACCTGGGAGGTGGAAGTTGCAGTGAGCCAAGATGGCAAGACTCCGTCTCAAAAATAAATAAATAAATAAATAAATAAGGGATTGCTATAATGACAAAAATGAGGTAATTGTCTTAAAACATCACTGGGCTTTGATTTCTCATATTCTTAAAATTTTGTTTCCTAGACATAGTAATTTCAACAAGGTCTGTATAGCCTAATGAAGCAATATCTTATAGCGTATTTTAAGTCTACATGTTGACATGTTAATGACACTATTTTAGCTATTTGTAATCTTGAATAGGTATATCATACCACCAGAGGGGGGAAAAACTGTGCCCTGAGAAAACCAGAGAAAGGAGTTCAGGTCCACTGAATCTGCAGCTGCAATCCTTGATAAACACAATTTTCTAGTCAACAACTGAAATATTTTAGAATTTCAGGACAGCTAATTAAGCACTTTTCATAAGTATTTAATTATTGTTTTAATCTGTAATTCAAAGGAGATCAGAGATAATATCTTGACCAACTTCAACATTCTTGTAAATCAGCCTCCTCATTAAAAGTTTTAGACTCAAAGGCCTCATGCACTTTGTTAATTTAGTGTTGGTTATGAAACATTATTTCCTCTTTCACAAAGTTATCTGGGAAATTGATTGTTTTGTTCTGCTGTGCTCTGCCTCATCTGTATTGTTCCGAAAGCATATTAAAGAGCTTTTTTCTAGAACTTGGAAATTAAGGAAATATAAACTAATCTACCCTCTCCCACCCACCCACACAAGCACACAATAGATACAGATATGAATAACCCAAACAATACTGGAACAAGTTCAAGATGCTTCAAATGTCTCTTTAGATTACTATCAAAACAAAAACCTAGTACTGTATGCTTACACTGCTTTTTTTAAAAAAATCTTTATATTAAAGTTAATATTATGTATATAATATTTTATACATACACACATGCACATAGTTTTTATGGAGACATGAGTTGAGTTTACTGTCTTTATTGCACAGTGATAATGTTTCAAATCTCCATTAACCTGATGTATATAATAAATTAGAAAATTATGAGATTCTTACTTATCAGATATCAGATGCAAACTTTGTAAATATCAAAAGCCTGTATCATTGTCCTATATTTCTTTGAGTATGTTGGTATTCATACTTGCTTAGTCCTTTTCCTCTAAGTGAAGTAATCACCCTAAAAATTTTACCAGGCACTACCAACTTACTAACAAGATCCTCCATGAAACCATTCATGATTATTCCCAGCAGCCATGGGAAGCTCTCTAATTTGACCTCTTATGAGCTCATTTGTACCTCTCTTATTGTCTTAATTTTTTTTTTCAGTTGGCCAACCTATCTTAAACAATTCATTAATCAGTCATACCAACTCAAAAATATCTGTGGATACAATTATACAAGAGATTGGGGATACTAAAATGAATAAAAAGCAAACCTTACTCCTGTAAAGCATGCTGTTTTGAGAGAATAGACATACACAAAGAAATTTAAGGTATGATATATTTCCTAATATTGAAAGTTCAGAGAAGAATGTTGAATGAAGTAACTTTCAGACTGAGTTGTGAGGATAGGTGTGACTTCTCTAGGTGCATGAGTGAGGGTGATCTCTCATAGGAATGAAATAGTATGATATATTTTTGGAAAGGAAGAGTACTTGTTTAGCCTGGAGTGTGATGGAGAAAGAGGACCTGACCCTGGAGAGGAGTTGGGGGGTCAGTTCAAAGGGTGACTTGTGGACTTTACTAAGAATTTTAGCCTGCGCAAAACTAAATTACCACAGTTCCTTGCATCTTTTCCTTCACTGCATATTTCTTCCTTCAGAACAGAAATCAGAGAAAATCCACATCCTTATTTTCTCTTATTCTGACATTCGGGAGGGTACCTCCTTTTAAAGATATCTCTAAAACATACCTCTTTCTCTAATATCACTGTCTTTACCATCTTTTGTCAGGATTATTGCAATAGACTTATATGTGTTTTATTTGCCTAGAATTCCACTTTCCTATATATTCACCATGATGCTTTGTAAGTAATTTCTTAAAAAATAAGTTTTAATAATGTTACTGGCTTGCTGAATGTAACTTATTACCTCACTTACATGTGAAATGCTTTTATTTTTTCTCCCTAATGCTTTGTCACTTCCTGGAAATCAGATATGATTAGTCATCTTTGTGTCTCCAAGAGTAGTTGTAATATAACACTGGCTAATAGTTAGATATAGTACATTATTGGTAGATGAAATAATTAAATATTCTTGAATTTTATTAATGCCTTCAAATTGTCCCCATTAAAAAAAACTAAAAGAAATGGCTTATTTCAGTTTTTGCTTTACTTCCCAAACTCATACATTAATTTGATTCTGAGTTTTTTATCTTCACTCCTTGCACATATATTTTGCTCCAAAGCAGAAAGATAAAAAGTTAATCAAATTTATTGTGTCTTGTTATCTTGCTTCTCAGTATGCATAAACATCAACTTTCTGAATAATTAAGTACCCTCTCCTGAGATCCTATATGATTGCATACATTATTCCACACCATGCATAGGGTACAGTTGTTTCTGCAACTAGTGAAAGATCAGTAATCTTTAGCTAATGCTGAGTGTAAATATGTAGCCTACATATATACAACTTTTTCTTTCACTTGGTCTTTTTAGGATCTTATATTTCACTTTTGCATTAAAATTCTATAGGATAATTTATTTAAGATGTATATGCTATGTGAATGATAGCAAGGCATTCACAAGGTATTGCTGATGGCAAAATAATTTTTCGGTACGTATTATTCTAAGAATTTAATCTCCTCATTCAGGAAGATAAAACGTATGTAATCAAAAACTGAGGATCATATGCATAATTTTATAGAGACAGCATGTGAGCACTAATGACTAACATAAGGAATGACAAACACACAATGAGGTTACTTGGAGGGAGAATGTGACAGAATGGTGAATCATCTCTTTTGTATTTAAAAGGGGAAGATTCAGGTTTTCTATCATTTTCTGTTTGAAAATGTGTAAGTTTTGAATTAAACATACAACTGTATGCCTAGAAAACAAACACACACACACACACGCGCGCGAATCTCTGTACCAGGAAAACAACTTGGACTTTTGGAGAGATGAAAGGCTCCTGATAAATGTTCAGTTGTTTGTAGATGGTTTATCTTTTGATTTGCTCCAGGATATCTGAGCCTTACTGAGCATGAATGTGGTGGAAACAATGCTATGTGTTCACCATATCCAGTTGCATATTTCTCTTTCTCAGGTTTATGGAAAACTATACTTCCCATACTCTTTTGTTGTGTGCATGGCTGGCCATGTGGATAGTTCTGTTCAAATAAATGCACGCAAAAATGACATGTGCTACTTCCAAGTTTTTGCACAATTTTCCAGTCAATCGCTTCCTCTACTCAAGCAATTAAAGATGCCTAGAATTGAGATGGTTGACACTCAGAGACACAATCAAGTCATTCTTGATAAAGTTTCTGCCCTAGAAAGTTGCCTTCCTAACACACGTCACGAGAGCAAGAAATAAAATTTTATGTGAAGTAATGAGATTCGAGATTCTCTGACTCCTCTCTTCCTCCTTTTCCCCCTCTCTCTCTCTCTCTTTTTCCTGCAGTGCAGTATTTTTTTAACAGGACTAATACACTATATTTCCCTTCAACTTACTTTTTCTTTCTTTGAAATCTATTCTGCTTACAGAATCTGCACCTTTTCTCTGCTAGAAGTCTCTTCACCAAAAATGAGCCTTTAGCACTGTGGGGATAAAGCAAATTGAAACTGCAAAATTTTGTCTGAATTGAGAAAATAGTTTTTCTCTGGTGTTAATACTCTCAGGTCATTTGTTTTCTGCACACAACATACACATTCCTTATAAAAACACTTTTTCTGCTTCTATGTTAATTTGAATGTGAGGAATCATTATGTATATATCTCTCTTTTTTTCAATTTCTACCTATTCAGCAACATTGGAAATAACTATAGGCTTATCTGACAAGTTACTATATAGGTAGATTTCAGAAATAAAGAGGCCAACTTTTTTTTTTGGGTGTGAATTTCTAGGCAAAAGCATACAACTGCTATGCCATCGGGTTGATAACCAGTGTTTTTACTGTTGGCTTAAATTTAATATCTTAATTATATTTATGATAGTTTTAGTCTAAGGCTAGTAAGTTGTCAGACAGAAACAATGGCACACATCTACTGGAACACTTAGGGATCCAGGCATGCAACTTATTATTAGCGAGCTCACAAAATCAGCTTCACAATAAATAAACAAGTGATCATTTATGTTTTTCTCCCTTCTTAAACAATCTATGTCAATATGAAGTTATGACTTCACCTCATTTTATTGTCACTCACCATGCTCAACCCCAGGCAAAAGAAATATTAGGAAGTTTCTCCAAACTCGAAATAACATCAAAATGCAGAGACCAAGAGAAATTTGGATAAGAAAAGCCAGGAATTGCATCAGGATGTCTGAAATATCTAATTTGGGGATTGTTTTCAACAGTATTTATACAATTTATTTCATCCTAAAGGGGACATTGTGTGTGACTTCATGTGCACTTATTAATAGAACAAACACTTTAAAGTCAGTAGCTGATTTGTGAAAATTTAAGCACTAGCATCTGAGAAAATGTAGTACCTGTCACAATTCTTCTAAGTCATACATATAGAAAGAAGGGATATAGTAAACTACACATCAGACATAGACACATTTCATTCTGTACTGCCTCTGACGGGGCCAATCTGGAAACATAGTGAAGCCTGATGAGTAAAGACATAATTCAAATGAGCATCCTAATGATTTTAAATAAACTTTTTCTAAATATCTACAATGTAAAGTGAATTGTCCACAATTCGAAGCCCACAGATACATAAAATACGTTCCCTGCATTTGAGAGATTCAAAGTCTATGTAGGGCAGCAGCAAATATGTATGTCTACAACAGGCCTCTCTCTAGATAGACAGAGAAAAGGTTTTCTATTCTAAATATCAAATAATTTATATTGGAATTCAGAAAAAAAAGGTAAAAATTGATGTGCTAGAATCAAACAAGAAAACTTTTTAGTGGATATGACATTTGGAAACTGTAAAGAAACAGGACTTTGATAAGTAAAAAGTTTGAGCGCTGGACTGACTCATTCGGAGGGCATAGGCTGAAGTGAGGTGAAAGGAGGCACCGGGAACTCACACTCAGAGGCAGCCGCCTTACTTCATGTAGTAAGAAAGGGCTAGGGAGGATGGGGTTCAGGCACAAAAAGTAGTCACTTCAACAAGAATATTTGCCTGAGGGAAAACAAGGCAGAAAGGGGCTAGATAATAGGAAGTCTATAATGCCTGGGCAGAGCTTTTCTTTAATTTTGTCTGTACTTATAAAGAAAAAGGAGACCTGAAGGAACAAAGGGGCAAAAGAATACTTAAATATGTATATTTGGATTATAAAAATTTTAACCAGGCATACATTCTGGCTTATGTTTATAGCTGGAAGTAGCTGTAAACATATAAAAATCACTCTATATACTTTCTAATTAAAATGACTTCATTGTTTTTGAAAACATAATTTCATTTGAATACAAAAAATCAATATAAAAATTTAAGTAATACAGAAAAGCACAAATGTTAAAGGGAAAGTATAAAATCTTCCCAAACTCCATCGACTGCCATTGTTAACTTTAGAAAAACCTCATTATAGACATGGCTTTCTCTATGTCTCTATTTGAATAAATTTAATGAGATCAAAAACAATTTCATATAAATTGCATCATGCTATATTGTTATTTTTAATGAAACAAAATTTTCATTCAATAAATTAATATAGTTTAGGTGAGCTTTTTCACCTAAAAGAAATATGCATGGTTAATAAAGGTTATTGGGCTACCTTAAATCTTTCATAGATGGAAGTATATTTTTCAACTGCCAGTTCCAATTTTAGAGAATGGTTTATGATCCATGTTTAAAACGATTAGCTAGATAGACTCTTCTTTTTCCCTCTACTCTCCCTCACTTGCCAATTTTTTTAAGTTACATTATTATTTATATATTGTTGAAGTTGATAAAATTCGTATTCCGTTTTACAATCTTCAATTCCAGAGATGTTTGGTAATTATTCTATTTTTAAATGGATTCACTGTTGTCAGCCAGTACTTTTATGACAAGTTTTCCATTTCACATTTTATTTTGTTTTGCTTCATCACTTAGTTGACTGGAGTTATTTATCAAGTTTGCTTATTTTTTTCTTTCAAAAATGGCCCATAAATACTCTATTCCTTGAGTTTCTGCATGCCTGGAAATAACACGTTTTCTATTATTTTGTCCTGTTTTATTATACTTGAAGGACAATTTAATTATGTATAAAATCTTGGCTTCGGTTTTCATTTTTCCTTGGAACTTTGTAGCTATTGCACCATCATATTTTGATATTTAATGTTGTTGTAGAGAAATTCAAGGCAAGATTGAATTTTTATTTTTCCACTATAGGTGACTTGTTTTATTCTGCCCAATTACCTGAAAAATGCTTTCCTCATATTTGACATTCAGTAAATTACTCATTTAGCATTGCCAATTGCCCATTAGCTACTACTTTACTGAAATATTTTATAATGTATTTTAAATTTTACCTTTCTTTCTTTCTATTGTACATTCTAATGCTAGGTTCTGTCTCACTTTTGGGGTTCTACTTCAAGGATGAAAATTATTTTGGATCATTTCTGTCTGATATTTAAGATTATCACCTTCATTTTTATCGCTTTAATCTTTCTGTCATTTTATCCTGAATTCAGTATGATTTTCTCAAACCTCCCCTTATTTTATAATTTGACTTTAATCTAACCCTTTGTTGTCTCTCGATGTTTCTAAATTATTCAGTGTCCTATAATCAGTATTATTTTGGGTTTTTACTTTATTTCTATCTCTATAATATCCTTTTTATAATATTTTATTTTAATATTATCTCACCTTTGAGTTTTATTTGTAATGATTCATGACACTTATTAAGTTTTCATGCATGGGGAAATGCATTTTGTTCCTAGGGCTATATTTTTAACTGAGGTAGTATTTCTTTTTAAAATAGTTATTTATTTTTTTCTTGTAAAATGTATACTGAGTTGTTGTGCCTTTTTCTTTACTATTGATAACGCTTAATGCTAGCAACTCAGTCTAGATTTTCTTAACACATAGGGTAGGTTCCTTTATTTACTTGTTAGCTTGATGTATGGTTATTATTTATTTCATTACACTGTGGATTGAGGACTTAGGTATGTTATTTGATTATCTTCTTTGTGGCATAATAGTAAGTTGGTGAGACAGGTAGAGGAGGATAGTTCTTACCCCAAATAAAGCAAATTGTAGTAAATGTTTATTTATCTCTTATGGGAAGGGATCCTTTATCCTAGTGATGTCTGGTCATTCTGCTTTTATGGGGGCAAGTCTCATGAATTCAAATATTTTCCTCATTTTTGGAGAACCTTGAATCCCATGTTTCTATCAGAAAGAATAATTTTCTATTGTTGGTATCCTTAATTTCACTTATTTCTCCCCAGCAGAGCTTTTTGTTCTTACTTCTCACCTCACATACCATCCTCTTGACAGTAGGAAGAGAGAAGAGATAAGCATGATCACTCTCTCCATTTCTCTCCAAATCAACGTGTGTGTAAGGATTCTCAGGATCCATGATCACCCACAAATTCTAAAGTGGGGTGAAGTTAAAGCCACATTGTGACAGAACCTTCTGCCTCTTTCCTCAGCTGCTTCTTAAATTGGTCAGCATGAGGCCATACTCCTTTCGTTATGTGATTGTTTGTGGTGAATGATGTCTGTCTGTATTGTCTTTGACTAATTTATTAGACTTTACTAGTCACTGCTACTCAGAGATCCCCATTTATTTTTCTTTCTTTTTGTCATTTATGAGCCTATCTAACACTAGCCACTGACAATATCTGTTTATCAGCAGTGTGAGGGGAAAGAGGAAATAAAAACATAGGCATGAATCAAGACCTAGTCTTGAGCATGCTTCTTTTTCAATTTAGGGTTAAAGAAAATGACTCAGATGGTATGGAATCAAGAGAAAATGAAGAAGGGGAGAAATTTAGGGTAGATTCACTGGGAATTTCATACTGTCTTTATTATAGCTACCCGGCCATACTGACTAAGACTTGTCTGTTAGTAAGAATAGAGAATGAAACTGTAAGAACCGACTGCTGGGTGTGGTCATGGTTGCTCGTGGTCCCAGCTACTCAGGATGCTGAAGTGGGAGGATCACCTAAGCTTAGGAAGTGGAGGCTATAGTGAGCTACCAAGTTCATGCCACGGCACTCCAGCCTGGACAACAGGAGTGAGACCATGTCTAAAAAAAAGAAAAAAAGAACCAAACAGCCTATGTTCTGGCATGAGTGGTTGGGATATAAAAACCAAAACAAACAAACAAACAAATAAACAAACAAACAAACAAAAACCCTTACAGAGTAGTCTTAATTTGGTATTTTTATAAGAGAAAGCAATGATAGGTCATAAAATCTAAGGCCTTACTAAAATAGGTGGGTGGAATTGATAGATAAAATTTTGTGATAATGAAAATAAGTAGCCAACTTATTGACAGACTGGACTTCAGGTGTACAAACAAAACATGTCTATTTTTCTCACTTATGTTGCTCTCAAATATACTTTGTTGGAAGTGTTCTGTGCCCTCAACAGATCCCACAGATTTATAGTTAACTTTTATTATGAGAAAATACAAATTTTAATACCTGAGATTGAATTTTAGTATTCAAGAGTTCCAGCTAGTTTAAATCAAAGATTCAATCACACATTCAGCTCAAAGACTCTCATCTCTCCTTACCTCAGCCCTGACACAGGACTTGGGGTCGTTCAGTGGAGAAGATAAATGCATTCTCATTTTCACTCTTGTTCCACCTTGTTTATTTGCTGCTTTGATTCTTCAAGGACTTGGCCAGGAGGAAGGAGGAACTGTGAGTATTTCTCAGAGTCTGACCAAGGCAGTTCACCTCATCCTTTTTTACTGTTGGTCAGGCGCGGTGGCTGACACCTGTAATACCAGCACTTTGGGAGGCCGAGGCGGGCGGATCACGAGGTCAGGAGATGGAGACCACGGTGAAACCCCGTCGCTACTAAAAATACAAAAAATTAGCCGGGCGTGGTGGCCGGTGCCTGTAGTCCCAGCTACTCCGGAGGCTGAGGCAGGAGAGTGGCGTGAACCCGGCAGGCGGAGCTTGCAGTGAGCAGAGATCGCGCCACTGCACTCTAGCCTGGGCGACAGAGCGAGACTCCGTCTCAAAAAAAAAAAAAAAAGTAGGCACTGGTCTCTCTGTTTATACAGTTTAACTTCCTGTGACACCTATCATGTGATTTACCACTGTGTCTCTTAATGGTGTGAGGACAACTTCAGCTTATCAACCATTGATCTGGGGAGCACAATGCAGTCTCTTCCTCTTTCAAACACTCCTAGATTCTTCAACAATTTCCTTTTCTTCTCTTTCTCGTTCTGACATTTTCATGCGGAAGGACATCCTTGGTTCCCCTCTCCTGGGGGAGGAAATGACTTATTTGATTGGTGAGTTTGGGATAGTACACAGGCCAGTTTAAATCAGTCTCTGCTTTTCCCTCTTTGGATATGGCTGCAGAACACAAACATATGTGTCTTTTACCAATGGATAAAAGATCTATCTTTGCAATTGATGATCATATTAGAGGTGGGTGTAGGTTTGAGATAAATTTAATTAAATGGCATATTAGATCTAGGTACATTGGCCTACAAACCTTGGAAAGTAAACGTAAGTGGAATTTGGATGCAAAACCACACTTAAAGTTTAAGCATTTTGTGTATCCAGGCATGGCTATTCTTACACTGACAATTTGCTGCATCCTGCCCAAGCAACTTAAAGCCTGAGGTGACATGATATTTTGACTTCTATAGCTCATGGCAGCTTTCTCCATTTGGGAGTGTCTGTTTATATACATTCAAGACCAAGTATGACTTAGCCAAACTCCAGGCAAGGACTGAGCATGTAGGGAGATGGAAAGGTGCATGTGACCTGAAGCTAGGTGAGCTTCACAATCACAACAGTGATCACATACAAGTTACAAACATCTGTTCTTGAACGGCACAGTTGCAGAATGGCCGGTAGTTACAAACCACCACCACCACCACTACCACTACCACCACCACCACTACCACCACCACCACCACCACCACTACCACCACCACCACCACCACCACCACCACCACCACCACCACCACCACTACCACCACAACAACAAAAGAAAAAAAAAAAAAACTGATACTGACTAAATCTTGTTAAGAATAAGGGTAGTTGTTTTTTTTTTTTTCTTTTTTCAGCTGAATCTGTAAGCAGCTCCTTTAAACTGCATATCAGTAATGTATCCTTATGTGACTGGTTGCCTGGGATGTTCCCTCTTTTATGTTGTTGGCCTCCTGTTCCATCCTGCTTAACATGTGTTGCCTGGATGATATAGTATGCAGTCACCCAATCTATTGAACACTAAGGTATTAGCTTTAAATTATTAATGAAAAGCCTAGGTTTGCAGTATCAATAGGCTCCCCAAAATTCAGTTCCTTTTGATGTTTGAACTGTATTTAGGACTCATATAGGAAACTGTACAAGGAGAGGATACCTGCCTGGATTCATGTGGATTATACACTGTGCCTCTGTAAATTAATGTTCTACAATGGAAGTTTTCACATACACAAAAATAGAGACAGTAGTGAAATAAACATTCTCGGACCCAGAACCAACAATATTTGTTTAATTTGGCCCCCCATCCAACCCCAGCACCACCCTTTCTTTTAGAGCATTATGTAGTAACTCTTGAGAATCCAATCATGTCAAATATAAACATACTAGTATTTGTAACACATATGGATTTTGTAAACTTAACAAAAATACCATGAACACATTCAATGTTAATCATTATTTTAAACAAATAAATGGCTTTTCATTTAATATGTAATTATTCGATCATTGATTATTAATATAAAATTCTTATTAGCATCAAACACACAGATCACATTTTACTTTGCCCAAAAGTTTTCCAAAAATTGTTCATTTTAATAAGAGTCCAACCGAAGTCACACACTGAATTGGATTGATATTCTCTGAGATCTCTTTTTATCTGGAGCAGTTCCTTCCTATACTTCTTTTTTTCTCCATTTATATGTTGTAGAAACCAGGTCATCTCTCTGGTGTAATTTTTCACACTCTGCAAAATGTAATACTATTTAACATGTTCCTCTATCTCCTGAATATCTCATAAGTTGGAGAAGGGGTATATGTAGAGATACATTTAGATTCAGGTACAAAAACTTTTAATACATTTATATAGTTTCAATTATTTCCATTTGTATATTCTTAGTAAAGGTTGAACCACAGGTTCAAGTTGTGTCAGTCTCATATCTCTGTCTTAAAGTTCAAATAATCTTGTACCTAATGGATTAGCAGACATTGATTGTCCTTGATTTGATCCATTCTCTTGCATTTGAGTATCATTCATTCCCCTTCAATTTATTAGCTGTGATTCTTATATAAAGGGAAATTTTTTATCACCAGTTCTTTGATTTGTCTGAAGATGGTCATTACAGGACAGGCTGGACAGATGCTTGCTGCTTTCTCTGTATTTATCTTAGTTGAGAGTATGGCTAGCCTGTTTTACACCATGTTTAAAAAAATACATGGAGGGGGAAGGATATCTCAAGCCTGGGATTATTCAGCTTAGCAGCGAGGAAGATCAGGAATTCAGGACGATGCTTTTGGCCAACTCAGAATTCATTGAGCTTATATGGCCCATAGAAAAATTCACAGTACAAAATTTAGAGTTATATGGGGAAAATAAATACGCCAGAAGGGAATAAAAAGAATAAGGAAAAATACAGTCAAATCTAGCAACAAAAACTAATTATGTATATAAAGGAAGAAAAAACACAAGAAACAGATTGACATGTTAAAAACTCATCCAAGTTTGCTCAGCCCCTCAAAAATATGGAAGAAATAGAACACTTTTCTTTGGCCTGAGCATTTTCCTAGGAAGGGACAATGGCAAGAACCACAAACGCTGCAAAGAGAGCACAGAAACTTCGGCTCTATGCTCAATGCATCAATTAGTAGTAAATAACTCAGAATTCAAAGCCAAAGTATAATAATAAATTTGTATATGTAGGAAAGCTTCCTAAAGTAAGAGCCATTGATGAAAAATATGTAATTTTACAAAAAAGGGCCTCCAATACCACTTTCTGAGAAGAGAGAAAGTGATTCATAGTTTAAAATTATTACCAGAATGGGCTAGTTCTTCAAAGTGATTTGAGTTCATGGTTCATGGATTCCAGATAACTACTATAAATCTATTGATATCTCGGTAATGCTAAGACCAGAATTTGGTCTGCTCATGTTAGATCAATGCTATGATAAGCTTTTGTATTATGTTAAATCTTTGGATTCCTTGAAAAGTGATGCACATCAGAAAATTTGTTTTGAATTCTGAGACTTTGAAAGGAATACACCCATAAAGTAGTACAGACCAGGCTCCAGCTGATGAATTTAAGAATCTTTTGGAAACCCCTAATTGCAACTGAATAGACTATGAAATTTGAAGGAAGAATTCTGAGCCTGAATTTCTCTTAACTTAAACCTTCAAAGTATTTAGATATGTGAACATTAGTTAATAAGGACATGTAATATTTGGATTTTAATTTTTCTGCCACAAATTTGCTAATGGGAGGAGTTTTATATTCCACTGTGAAACATCTTATTGCTGGCCTCTTATTGGCATGCCTTCTTCAAAATGACATCTGGTTAGTAGCAATTAAGATGGTCTCTCTAACATTTTGTTAAATGGAGAGAGAGAAAACTAGGACTGGCAGATAATCTAATAATAGAATATAGATGTAAGTGCCTGAGAAATAAACACTGATTATAGGTATATAAAACTAATGGCAAACAGATATATAGTCCTTTCTCTGAATCATTTATCCATTATAATTGCTTTATATATAAATCGATTTAATTATTATAACAACACTTTGAGGTAGGTTGTCATTTTTACCCCCTTTTAATCAATGGCAAAGTTGAGGCACAGATAGATAAAGTCATTTGCCAAATATTATAGAACTGGTAAGTGGCAAATCAGTTTGATTCTAGGTAATATGGTTTCAAATAGAAGAGAATTAAGAAAAGTCAGCCCAGAGGTCAGTTCATAAAATACTCAATACAGCAATGTTTTTTTCATGTAATATTCAGCCAAAAATATGTAAGAAAGAATAGAATGCCTCCAACCACAATTTCTACTCTCAACTCAAAATCCAGATACTATATCATCTCAAAATAGGGAAGATGCAATTATAAACCCCACAGGAATTATGTATGAGATAAAATAACAATAAACTCTTCTATACTTCAAGCAGTCCCCCGTATTCTCCATTCACTCTAATACTACCATGAGATGTTCATAAAATCAGAAATACTGGCCGGGCGCGGTGGCTCACGCCTGTAATCCCAGCACTTTGGGAGGCCGAGGCGGGCGGATCACGAGGTCAGGAGATCGAGACCATCCTGGCTAACACGGTGAAACCCCGTCTCTACTAAAAATACAAAAAATTAGCCGGGCGTGGTAGCGGGCGCCTGTAGTCCCAGCTACTCGGGAGGCTGAGGCAGGAGAATGGCGTGAACCCGGGAAGCGGAGCTTGCAGTGAGCCGAGATCGCGCCACTGCACTCCAGCCTGGGCGACAGAGCGAGACTCCGTCTCAAAAAAAAAAAAAAAAAAAAAAATCAGAAATACTACAAAGTAGATAAATCAAATCTTAAGAATGTGTTTGAAAGCCTTGAATTTCACCCCTATTATAATAAATAAGAAGGAAACCAGTAATGTAAATGGTGATGTAAAAGTAAAAGAACAAAACAAAACAGAGGTGAGGTTCAAGATGGCTGATTAGATGCAGCTAGTATGTGCCTCTTCCACAAAGAGGAACCAAAATAGAAAGTATGATATAATCTGAATATTTGTCTCCTCCAATTCTTATATTGAAATATCATCCACACAACGTTGGAGGTCAGGCCTAGTGGAAGTTGTTTCAGTCATGGGGATGGATCCTCATGAAGGACTTGGTACTATTCCTGCAGTAATGAATGAGTTCTCACTCTATCAGTTAATGCAAGAGCTGGTTGTATAAAGAGCCTGGCAACTCCTCCTTTTTCTCATGCTCCCTCTCTCACCATATGACATGTCTGCTCTCCTTTCACCTTGTTTTTCATTTTTATCTGTGTTATTGCAAATGAAAGGATCACATTCTTTTTTATGGCTGAATAGTACTCCACTGTGTGTATGTACCACATTTTCTTTATTCATTGGTCTGTCGATAGGCATTTAGGTTGCTTTTGAATCTTAGTTATTGTAAATAGTGCTGCAATAAACATGGGAGTGCAGATACCTCTTTGACACACAGATTTCATTTCCCTTGACAAATACCCACATAGTAGGATTCCTGAATCATAGGGCAGCTTTATTTACTTATTTTTTTGGGAACCTCCATACTGTTCTCTATAGGGTTGTACTAATTTATGTTCCTACCAACAGTGTACAGGGCCTCTCTTTTCATTCCCTTTTTATCCTCACCAGGATTTGTTATTGCCTGACTTTTGGATAAAAGCCATTTTCAATGAGGTGACATAATATCTCAATGTGTTTTTTTTTCTTCTTCTTTTCATTTTTATTCTCAATTTCAAAAGGTTTTGGGGGAACAGGTGGTATTTGGTTACGTGGATAAGATCTTGAGTGGTGATTTCTGAGATTTTGGTACACCCATCACCCAAGCAGTGTACACTAAACCCAGCGTGTAGTCTTTTATCCCTCACCCCCTTCCACTCTATCCCCTGAGTCTCCAAAGTCCAGTGTATCATTCTTATGACTTTAAGTCCTCATAGCTTATGTGATGTTTGGTTTTCTATTTCTGAGTTACTTCACTTAGAATAGTGGTCTCCAATTCCAACCAGGTTGCTCCGAGTGCCATTATTTCATTCCTTTTTATGGCTGAGTAGTATTCCATTATATATACATACCACATACATACATACCACATTTTTCTTTATCTACTCATTGATTGAGGGCATTTATGCTGGTTGCATGTTTTTGCAATTGTGAATTGTGCTGCTATTAACTTGCATACGCAAGTGTCTTTTTCGAGGAATGACTTATATTCCTTTGGGGAGATAATGACTTCTTTTTCCCTGGGTGGATACCCAGTGGTGGGATTCCTGGATCAAATGATAGATCTACTTTTATTTAACTAAGGAATCTCCAAACAGTTTTCCATAGTGGTTGTACTAGTTCACATTCCCACCAGCAGTGTAAAAGTGCTCCCTTCTCATCACATTCATGCCAAGATCTATTTTTTTTATTATGACCATTTTTGTAAGAGTAAGATGGTATTGTACAGTGGTTTTGACTTGCGTTTCCCTGATAATTAGTGATGCTGAGGATTTTATCATGTTTGTTGGCCATTCACATATTTTTTTTGAGAAACGTCTATTCATGTCCTTAGCCTACTTTTTGATAGGATTGTTTCTTTCTTGCTGATTTGTGTGAGTTCTTGTAGATTTTGGATTTTAGTACTTTGTCGGATGCATAGTTTGCAAAGATTTTCTCCCAATCTTTGGGTTGTCTGTTTTCTCTGCTGATTCTTTCCTTTGTTGTACAGAAGCTTTTCAGTTTAATTAAGACCCATCTATTTATCTTTGTTTTTGTTGAATCTACTTTTGGGTTCTTGGTCATAAAGTCATTTCCTAAGCCAATGTCTGGAAAGGTTTTTCCAATGTTATCTTCTAGATTATTTTATGGTTTCAGGTCTTAGATTTAGGTATTTGATCCATCTTAAGTTGATTTTTGTGTAATGTGAGAGATGAGGACCCCATATCATTCTTCTTGCCAATTATCCTAGCATCATTTGTTAAATAGGGCGGCCTTTTTTCATAAAACATTTTATGTTTTTGTTTGCTTTGTCAAAGAACAGTTGGCTGTAAGTATTTGGGTTTATTTCTGGGTTCTCTATTCTGTTCCATTGGTCTATGTGCCTATTTTTATACCAGTACCATGCTGTTTTAGTGACTATAGCCTTACAGTACAGTGTGAAGTCAGCTAATGTGATGCCTCCAGATTTTTTTTTTTCCTTAGTCTTGCTTTGGCTATGTGGGTAATTTTGGGTTCCATTTAAATTTTAGGATTTTTTTTCTAGTTCTGTGAAGGATAATGGTGACATTTTTATGGACATTGCATTGAATTTGTAGAATGCTTTTGGAAGTATGGTCATTTTGACAATATTGTTTCTACCTATCCATGAACATGGGAAGTGTTTTCATTTGTTTGTGTCATCTATGATTTCTTTCAGCAGTGTTTTGTTGTTTTCCTTGTAGAGGTCTTTCACCTCCTGGTTTAGATATATTCCTAGGGTTTTTTGTTTTTGTTTTTGTTTGCAGCTATTGTAAAATGAATTGAGCTCTTGGTTTGATTTTCAGCTTGGTTGCTGTTGGTGTGTAGCAGTGCTACTGATTAGTGTATATTAATTTTGTATTTTGAAACTTTACTGAATTCATTAATCAGTTCTATGAGCTGTTTGGATGAATGTTTGGGGCTTTCTAGATATATGATTATATCATGGGTGAACAGCGCCAGTTTGACTTCCTCTTTACCAATTTGGATTCCCTTTATTTCTTGAGTTGGCCTGATTGCTCTTGTTAGCACTTCCAGTCATATGTTCAACAGATAAGGAGAAAGTGGGCATTCTTGTCTTTTTCTAGTTCTCAGGGGAATACTTTCAACTTTCCCCATTCAATATAATGTTGTCTGTGGTTTGTCATAGATGGCTTTTATTACCTTAACATATGTCCCTTCTATGCTCATTTTGCTGAGGGTTTAATCGTAAAGGGATGTTGGATTTTGTCAAATGCTTTTTCTGTATCTATTGACATGATCATATAATTTTTGTTCATAAGTTTGTTTACATGGTATATCTTATTTATTGACTTGCACATGTTAAATCATCCCTCATTTCTGGTATAAAACCCACCTGAACATGGTGAATTACCTTTTGATATGCTGTTGGATTTGGTTATTTAGTATTTCTTAGAATAGTATGCATCTATGTTCATCAGGAATATTGGCCTGTAGTTTTCTTTCCTTGTTATGCCCTTTCCTGGTTTTAGGGTGGCACTGATTTCATAGAATGATTTAGAGAGGGTCCCTGTTTCTCTATCTTTTGGAATAGTTTCAATAGGATTTGTAACAATTCTTCACTGAATGTCTGATTGAATTTAGCTGTGAATCTGCCTAGTCCTGGATGTTTTTTGTTGGCAATTTTTCTTTTGTTACTAAATCTTGTTGATAGCCTATCAATTTTGTTTATTTTTTCAAAAAAAAAACAGCTTTTTTTCATTATTTGTATGTTTTTCGATTCAATTTCATTTAGTTCTGCTCTGATTTTTGTTATTTGTTTTTTTCTGTTTGGTTTGGAGTTTTTTTTTTTTCTTGTTTCTCTAGTTCTTTGAGGTATGACCTTAGATTGTCTATTTGTGCTCTTTTGGATAGCTTGTGTCACTATTATCATTCAGTTCAAAGATTTTTCTAATTTTCTTCTTGGTTTCATTGTTAGCCCAGCAATCATCAAGGAGTAAGTTATTTAATTTCCATGTGTTTGCATGATTTTGAGGTTTCCTTTTGGAGTTAATTTCTAATTTTATTCCACTGTGGTCTGAGAGAGTACTTGCTATAATGTCAATTTTATTAAATTTATTAAGACTTTTTTTGTGGCCTATCATATGGTCTATCTTAGAGAATGCTCATGTGCCAATGAATAGAATGTATATTCTGCTGTTGTTGAGTAGAATGTAATGTAAATATCTATTATGTTCATTTGTTCTGAATATCTGTTTATTTTTTCTTTGTTGGATTTCTGTTTTGATGACCTGTGTCTAGTGCTGTCAGTGGAGTATTGAAGTTCTCCACTATTATTCTGTTGCTGTCTACCTCATTTCTTAGGTCTAGGAGTAATTGTTTTATAAATTTGGGTGCTCCAGTGTTAGGTGCACATATATTTAGGATTGTGATACTTTCCTGTTGGACTAGTCCTTTGATTTTATATAATGTCCCTCTTTGCTTTTTTTAAACTGATTTTGTTTTAAAATTTGTTTTGTCTGATTTAAGAATAGCTACCCCTGCTCATTTTTGGTGATCATTTGCATGGAATTTTTTTCCCACCCTTTTATTTTATGTGAGTTCTCATGTGTTAGGTAAGTCTCTTGAAGGCAGCGGATACTTGGTTGATGACTTTTTATCAATTCTGGCATTCTGTGTTTTTTAAGTGGAGCCTTTAGGCCATTTACACTCAACATTTGTTTTGAGATGTGAGGTACTATTCTATTCATCATGCTAGCTGTTGCCTGAATACTTTTGTTGTTGTTGTTTTTTCATTGTGTTATTGTTTTGTGATTCCTGTGAGGTTTATGCTTTAAAGAGGTTCTATTTTGGTGTATTTTGAGGATTTGTTTCAAGATTTGGAGCTCTTTTTACCAGTTCTTGTAGTGCTGACATGGTAGTGGTGAATTCTCGCAGCATTTTTCTGGAAAAAGACTGTGTCTTTCCTTCATTTATGAAGCTTAGTTTCACTGGATACAAAATTATTGGCTGACAATTTTTTTTCTGGAGGCTAACGATAGGACACCAGTCCCTTCTAGCTTGCAGGGTTTCTGTTAAGAAATCTGCTGTTAATCTAATATGTTTTCCTTTATAGGTTACCTGATGTTTTTGCCTGACAGCTCTTAAGATTCTTTCCTTCTTCTTAAGGTTATCTGATGACTATGTACCTAGGCAATGATACTTTTGTAATGAATTTCCTGGGTGTTCTTTGACTTTCTGTATTTCGATGTCTAGCTCTTTAGCGAGGCTGGGAAAATTTTCCCCAATTCTTCCCTCAAATATGTTTTTCAAACTTTTTGATTTCTCTTTGTCCTGGGGAATACCAATGATTATCAGGTTTGGTCACATAACATAATCTCAAACTTCTTGGAGAGTTTGTTCATATTTTCTTAATCTTTTTTCTTTGTGTTTGTTAGATTAGACAAATTCAAAAGCTTTGTCTTTGAGATTTTAAGTTCTCTTCTCTACTTGTTTGATTCTATTGCTGAGACATTCCAGTGTATTTTGCATTTCTCTAAGTGTGTCCTTTGTTTCCAGAAGTTGTGACTGTTTTTTTACTTATGCTATTTCTCTGGAGTTTTTTTTGTCCATATGCTGTATCATTTTCTTTTAATTTATTTAAATTGGTATTCACCTTTCTCTGGTGCCTCCTTCAGTAGCTTAATAATCAACCCTCTGAATTACTTATCTGGCAATTCAGAGATTTCTTCTTCGCTTGGATCCATTGCTGGTGAGCTAGTGTGATATTTTGGGTGTGTTAAAAACCTTGTTTTGTCATATTACCAGAATCGTTTTTCTGGTTCCTTCTCATTTGGGTAGACTATGTCAGAGGGAAGATCTGGGGCTCAAGGGCTGTTGCTCAGATTTTTTTATTCAATGGGGTGCCCTCTTGATGTGGTGCTCTCCCTCTTCCCCTAGGGATGGGTCTTCCTGATAGCCAAACTCAGTGATTGTTAGTTCTCTTCTGAGCCTAGCCACCCAGTGGAGCTACCAGTCTCTGGGCTGGTAATGAGGAGCGTCTGCAAAGAATCCTGTGATGTGAGCTGTCTTCAGGTCTCTCAGCCATGGATATCAGCACCTGCTCTGCTGGAGGTAGCAGGGGAGTAAAGTGGACTTTGTGAGGACATTGGTTGTAGTTTTGTTCAGTGTGCTGGTTTTGTGTTGTTTGGCCTCTAGCCAGGAGGTGGCGCTTCACCAGGAGGTGACAGCATCAGCTGTGTTTGCATAGGGAGGATACAAGCTTGTGCTAGGGTCACCTGTATAAGTATTTCAGGCAGTGGATGGGCCCAGAGAGCTCTCAAGAGATTACGTCCTTTGTCTTAAGCTATGAGGATGGGTAGAGAAAGACCATCAGTTTGGGGCAGGGTTAGGCATGTCTGAGCTCAGACTCTCCTTGGGTGGCGCTTGGTGATGCTGCCATGGGAGATGAGGGTGTGGTTCTCAGGCCAATGAAGTTACATTCCCAAGGAGATTACAGCTGCCTCTACTGTGTCATACAGGTTGCCATGGAAGTGGGGAAAAGCCGGCAGTTACGGGCCTCACCCAGCTCTCACATAGCCCAAAATGCCAGTCTCACTCCCACTGTTCTCCCTCAAAAGCACTGGGTTTATTTCCAGGCAGCTGGTGAGCAGGGCTGAGAACTTCCCCCAGGCTATGAGACCCACTGCTGAGAAAGCAAGCAAGGCTTTCAGCTTTCATGTCTCCCCACCTGTCACTGTTCCTGGGCTCATATCTGCTCTCCCCATTCACCCCCTTCCACAGATTCTGTTAAGGAAACTTCATGTTCGGTCGATATTGTTACAAAGTTCAGCTGGAAGTTTCCTTCTCCCTGTGGTCTGTCCCTAATTCCACTGGCAGCCCTCCCCAAGGATTCCTATGAAACAAAGTCAGGAATGATTTTCCTGGGGACTGAGAGTGCCCACAGGGCTCTTTCTGCTGCTTTGTCTACCCCTATAGTTTGCTCAGCTCTCTAGATTTGTCTCAGCTCCAGGTAAGGTCAAATCCTTTTCACATGATTTGGACCTTGAGGTTCCCCAGTGGGGATGTGTGTCTGGGGCTGGAGGTTTCCCTTCTCATACTTTGGGTACTCACAGTTTTTCAGCTGCCTCATAGATCCTGCAACAGCAAGCCACTTCCTTCAAAGGATATGTGGATTCTCTCAGCTTTCCTGGTATTTTCCTGTCGTAGTTATTGGAGCAAAAGCGTGAGTCTCCACATGCTACTCTGTCCATCTGAGTGGGAGCTGCAAGTTAGTCCTGCCTCCTCCTCAGTGTAGTTTTCATTTGTATTATTCTGATGATAAATGATTTTGAGCACCTTTTCATGTACTAGGTAGCCATTTTTATGTCTTTTTGTTTTTCTTTTTTGAGACGGCGTCTCACTGTGTCTCCCAGGCAGTATCTATTTACATATTTCACACATTTTTAAATTGTATTAATAGATTGTTTTCCTATAGAGTTATTTAAGCTTCTTATATATTCTTATTTATTATATATTCCTATATATTTTGGTTATATATCCCATGTTAGATGGATAGTTTGCAAATATTTTCATCCATTTTTTGTGTTTTCCTTTCACTTAATTGATTGTTTACTTAGCTGTTCTGAAGCTTTTTAACTTGCTGTGCTCCCATTTGTCTATTTTTGATTTGGTTGCCTGTACTTATGGGGTTTTATCCAAGAAATCTTTGCCCGGGGCAATGTCCTGGAGAATTTCTTTAACGTTTTCTTTTAGTGGTTTCATAGTTAGAAGTTTCATAGATTTAAGTCTTTAATCCATTTTGATTTTATTTTTGTATGTGGCAGGAGATATGGGTCTAGCTCTATTCTTCTGCATATGGATATCCAGTTTTCCCAGCACCATTTATTGCAGAGAAAATCCTTTTCCCAATGTATGTTTTTGGCACCTCTTTTGAATATTAGTTCACTGTAGATCTATGGATCTCTGTGTTTTGTTCTTTTCCTTCAGTCTATGTATCTGTTTTTATGGCAGTACCATGCTGTTTTTGTTACTATAGCTCTATGGTAATATTTGGTGTCAGGAAATGTAATTACTCCAGTTTGTTATGTTTTGTTTTCTCAAGATGCATTTGACTATTCTGGGTCTTTTTTGGTTCCATATAAATTTTAGAAACACTAATTGGGAACCTATACTGAGATAGTGTGGAGGTAAAATGTGGGGTTGGAGCCTGCACACAGAGTCCCCACTGGGTCCTGCCTAGTAGAGCTATGAGAAGATGGCCACCTCCCTCTGGACTCCAGAATGGTAGGTCAATTGGCAGCTTGCATCATGAACATGAAAACATGAAAAAGCTGGACGCATCCAACTACAACCTGTGAGAGCAGCTGCAGGCACTGAACACTGCAAAGACTTGGGGGCACAGCTGCTCAAGGCCTTGGAAGTCTACTTTTTCACAGCAATGTGCCATAGATGTGAGTCAAAGAAGATTATGTTTGAATTTTAATATTTAATGACTGTCCTGCTGGTTTTCAAATATGTGTGAGGCCATAGCCCCTTTCTTTTGGCTGATTTCGCCTTTTTTGAAGGGTAATGTTTAACCCAATGCCTACAACCTGTTGTATCTCTGAATAAACTGATGTTTTTTGATTTTATAGGCCCACAGTTGGGAGGAACTTGCCTTGTGTTAGATGAGACTTTGGAATTTGAAATGTTGAGTTAATGATGCAATGAGTTAAGACTTTAAGGGACGATTGGGAAGACATTATTGCATTTTGCAATGCAAGAAGTACATGAGATTTGGGGGTCTGGAGAGCAATGAAGTCCCACCAAAATCTCATGTTGAAATGTAATCCCCAATGTTGGAGGTGGGGCCTGATGGAAGGTGATTAGATCATGGGGGTAGATTTCTTATGATTGGTGTAGCATCATCTCCTTGTTATTGTCCCTGCAAGAGTGAGTGTGTTCTCATGAGATGTGATTATTTAAAACTGTGTAGCACCTTCCTTCTGTCTCTCTCTTGTTCCTGCTCTGGCCATTTAATGTGCTTGCTGAACCTTCACCTTCCATCATGATTGTAAGGTTCCTGAGGCCTCCCCAGAAGCAGAGCAGATGCCAGCATCATGCTTCCTGTAAAGCCTTCAGAACTGTGAAATCTCTTTTAACAATAAATTACCCAGACTCGGGTATTTCTTAATAGAAATTCAAGAACAGCTTAATACAACTGCTATGGCCACATTGGTGCCCAAGCTGCTAGACAATACCCTTTTACTCTAAAGGTTTTTGTTTTGTTTGTTTGTTTGTTTTCTTAAGCAAAAGGAGTCTCCTCCCACGGCTGCCACAGCTAGACATGTGCTTGATCACACCTGAAGTCAGCACAGCCCTGGGTCTCATCCTGGGTCTGTGGCAAGTACTGCCTGGGTGCAATTGCTGTTTATTCAAGGTCCAAGGGCCCTTTGGTCATCAAATAATGAATTCTTCCAGGCCCAGGTCTTTCCCTTCCATGCAGCAGTCTTCCTTCTGGCCCAGGCTCTGTCTAGAAATGTCATCCAGGACCTGGGGCCTGGAAAGGGGGCCACATGACTCTACCTGGCCCTATTCTACTGTGGCTGAGCTGCCATCCAAGTTGGAAGACAAAGTCCTCTTCACTTTCCCCTCTTCACTCCTCACGTGGAAGGAAGGGGTCTCTCCTCGAAGTGCATGTTATACTGCCTAGGGTTGGGGGAGGAGTGAAGAAAGCAGTCCCTTGGCCACCCTGGCCAGTGTCTCACTAGGTCTTGTGCACTCCAAGTCCACTGGCTCTAAGCCCAGCATAGCATGTGGACTTGCCCAGAAACTGCAGTCCTTGTGTCCTAGACTGCCTTTATAGTCTATTTAGGCCTGAGAGCGCTTTAGCATGTGTTGGTAGGGTTAGTTGGAACTCAGGTTCTAACCACTAAGATGGGCAATTCCCCTTTGGCTAGGGCTGGTCTAAATGCCCCCTCCATGGGCACTGGCTGAATTCTGTCCCATGTTGCTTTTCTCTGTGACAGGGCAGCATTGAGTTTTAACGCAAAGTCCCACAATCACTACACTCTCTCTCCCTATGCACACAGATTCTTTCTATGTGCCATGTGACTACTGCCAGGAGATGAGGGAGGGGTGTTGTTGGTAATTCAAATGGTCTTTCCTACTCTCTTCAGTGCCTCCTTTTTAAATATGATGTTAAAACCAACACTGTGGTTACTCACCCGCCTGGTTCTCATGAAAGTGCTTTCTCATGCGGATATTTGTTCAATGTGGTGTCCCTGCAGGGATAACCATCACTGGAGGCTTCTATTCAGCCACCTTGTTTTGCCTCCTCCAAGATCATAATTTGATCTTTCATGTTTTTCAAATATACACATTTAATACTATATTTTTTTCTCTGAAGACTGCTTTAGCTCCATCTCACAAATGTTTATATGTTTTCATTTTCTTTCAATTCAAAATGTTTTTAATTATTTTTGTGATGTCTTCTTTGAGCCAAAAATTACTTAGAAGTGTATTGTTTAGGCAGGGCATGGTGGCTCATGCCTGTAATCCCAGCACCTTGGGAGGCTGAGGTGGGCGGATCACAAGGTCAGCACTTTGAGACCAGCCTGGCCAATATGGTGAAATCCCGTATCTACTAAAAATACAAAAATTAGCCAGGCATAGTGGTGGGCACCTGTAGTCCCAGCTACTAGGGAGTCTCAGGCTGAGGCAGGAGAATCAGTTGAACCCAAAGGCAGAGGTTGTAATGAGCCAAGATCGCACTACTGAACTCCAGCCTCGGCAACAGAGTGACAGACACTCCATCTCAAAAAAAAAAAAAAAGTGTACTGTTTAATTTTAAAAAATTTTGTGACTTGTCAGCATATTTTTGTTATTTCTAATTTATTATGTTTTTATCAAAGAATATACTCTATATGACTTTAATCTGCTTTAATTTTGAGTCTTGTTTAATGTCCTAGCATATGCTCTATCTAGGTAAATGTCCTATATATAGTGAAAATAAATGTGTATTCTGCTGTTGCTGGGTGATATGTTTTATAAATGTCATTTAGGTCACGTTGATTGAAAGTGGCATTCAAAGGTCATATATTTTATTGATTTTCTGACTTTTGTTCTATCAATTACTGAAAGAAGAGACAAATGTAATTATGAAGTAATATGAGATAAGATAAAACATTAGGCTACAAAGCCAAGTCATTATTAAATTTGGCGGGAGAACTTAGGCAACCATCTTTTCTGCGTAGTAGGACTTTCCATGTGCTACAGCTAACTTTAAACCTCGCTGATCACATAATTGTGCAGCTGTAAATGATAAGTATATATTTATATACACTACCTTTACTTCACACACTATACATATTATAATTATAATTCTAAATATACCTACTAGTAGTTTCAAATAAAATAAACAAATGAATAACTGGAATTTACACAGTGGCTGCTCTTGTGCACCTCTATATATTATTCTGATTCTATTTTTCGAAAATGCCAAACTTGGGGATTCTATGTATACATATTTAGAAGAAGGAAGTCAAAGAAAATGAAAATGAAGTCAAAGAACAAGAGTAAGAGAGAAAGTGGGAGGAAAGAGAGAGGGAGAGAGATGTAATCGATGTGTTCTACCACTTATTCAGAAATATCTTTTAACAGCCAAGTCTCTGGGGGCCCCAATCCTCTGGAAAGTGGTTTTCAACTTTGTTACCATTACATTACACATAACAGATGACACTTTTTGTGTCACAGGCTCCCGTCTGCAATGCTCAGAACACTGAATGCATCTCTATTGCTTTATTTACTCTCAATGAATCATTGGTGTTTCAGACCATTTTCTGCTGATGTAAAAAATACCACAGACTGAGTACTTTATTGACAACAGAAGTTTATTTGATTCATGGTTTTGGAAGCTAGAAAGTCTAAGAGTATGGTGCTAGCATCTGGCTAGGGTCACCTCATAGCATAAGGGAGAAGGCTGAAGGGGGCAGCAAGCATTCAAGACACAGAGAGGTTTTTGAGCTAAACTCATTCTTTTATCAGGAGCCCACTCCTGCAATAACTAACCTACTCTCACAATAATAGAATTACTTCATTAATGAGGGCAAAATCCTCCTGACGTAATCACCTCTTAAAGGCCTTACTTTCCAATTCTGTGACACTGGCAATTAAATTTCTACATGAGTTTTGGTTGTAAGCTGGTAGTTCTACAGTTCAGGGGTCTTGGGAGTAGACTTACTCCATTAGTAGCCACTCTTCATTAGGCATTGCCCTAGCAGGGACTCTGTATCAGCTCCAATCCCACATTTCTGCTTGGCAGTGTCCTAGTGGGTGCTCTCCTCAGTGGTTCTGCCTCTCTACAAAAAATTTCTGCCATGGCCCCCGGCTGCCCATGACATCCTGTGAGACGAGACCTGGGAGGAGTAATTGTTTCCCCTGTAGCTCTTGCATTCTTTGCGTCTGCAGAATTAGAGCTATGTGGACACTGCCAAGTTTTATCACTGTACCTTCTGGAGCAGTAGGTTGAGCGGCAGCACCTGGGCCCACTTAAGTCATGACTGGGGTGACCTGGGAGCACTGCACCAGAATTTGGGAAGCAGAGACCTGAGGTGGGTCTGAGCCCATGGGTGAACCCATGGAGGATGCCCTGGGCCCATCCCATAAAACCATTCAGCCCCACTAGAGCTCTGGGTCTATGATGGGAGGGGCAGCCTTGAAGATCTCTGGAAACTTTGGGGTCATTCTCGCATTGTCTTGATGATCCCTTCTATCTGTGCTAATCTCCTTAGCAAGTAGTCATTTGCCCAAGCCTTTAGCAATCTCTCCCAAGCATGCTTTTTTATTCTCTACATAATTAGGCTGTGAATTTTCTAATTCTTTTCTATTTTCCTTTTAATTTTAAATTCTAATTTGAGGTCGTCTTTTTGCTCTCATATCTCAGTGTATGTGGTTAAAAGTAATCATACAGCAGCCTGAATGCTTTGCTGCTTTGATATTTCTTTCAGTAGATATCCTAGCCCACTGTTCTTAAATTTCAGGTCTCATGAAGTCCTATGACATGGACATAATTCTGCCAACATTCTTGCCACTTTATAACAAGAATAGTCTATACTTCATTTCCAAATAGGACTTTTTTATTCTGCCTGAGACCTTAGCAGAATGACCTTTATTGTCCATATTCCTATTAATATTCTAATCACAATCATTTAAGTAATCTCTAAGAAAATTCAAACTTTAAGGGTATCCTTTTTTCCTGAACTCTCACCAGGAGTGCCCTTACTGCTACATTCATGGCAATCCAGGCTTTACTAGCTTACTCATCCAAATTCTTCTAGCCTCTACCTATTGTCCGGTTTCAAAGTTGCTTTCATATTATCAGATATTTGTTATAGCAACAATCTCACTTCTTAGTACCAATTTTCTGTCTTAGTCTGTTTTCTGCTGCTATAATGGAATACTACATCCTGTATAATTTATAAGCATTAGCAGTTTATTTGGTTCATGTTTCTGGAGGGTGGGAAGTCCAAGAGTATGGTGCGGCATCTGCCAGGGATATCTCCTGGCAGAAGGTAGAAGGCAGAAGGCAGAAGCGAACAGTGAAGACAGAAAAAGAAAATTGGACCAGAAACTCATCTTTTTATCAGGAGCGCACTCCCACAATAAAGAATCCACTCTCATGCTAATGGCATTAATCCATTCATGAGGGCAGAGCTCTAATGACCTCATCACCCTACAAAGCCCCACCTCCCAGTGCTATTTATTTGAAATTAAATTTTAGATGTGTTTCAGAGGAGGGGAGAAATCAAACCAGAAAAATTGGCAACAAAACTGATTTTGAAAATATTATAGGTATACATTAAATATATACAACTTAATTCATTAGTTATACCTCAATAAAAATGGGGAGAAATTTAAAAATGATAATTTCTTAGACTCTATACAATAAATATTTTTGCTTCATTGAGTGATATTATAAAATTTAGCATATTAATTTTTAGTCAATTGTATTTTTAAACACTTATTCTCCCAGAAGTGAAGAGTTTTTACCAGTATCATACCTCACTCTATGGAAGTCATGTTGGCTGGGAAGTTTTCTTTCTTTCTTTAATTCTTTATTTAATGAATTTTTAGAGATAATATTCAACTTTTAATATTTAATTGTTAGTACTGCATTGAACAACATGATGTAAATAATTAAGACCATAGTTTTTTGATTAGACAAATATGACTTTGAGCTCACTGTGCTAATACCAGCAGTAACAAGAATAGTAGCAGCCAGAGAACTATCATGATGTCAGTCTAACTGAGAAGTTACCAGTTGTGTGAATTGGGGCAATTTGCTGAAAATTTCTAAATCTCTTTTTCCCCATATTAAAAAAAAAAAAAAACAGTACCTTCTCCAATATAATTTTTCACAGGCTAAATATATAATCCATGTAAAATTTTGGTGCAGTTTCTGGAAAGTACTAAATGCCCTATACATGTTTGATGGCAGCCAAAGTAATGGAAATAGTAGCAGTCATAGAAGTTGTCACTGTAGTTTAAATTGTAGTCATACCAGTAGTAACAGTAATACATTTCTGCTATAACTCAGGTTGTGTCAAATCATCTTGTTTGAGAGTCAGTCAATTCCTTGGGATATAGTCCTGTGGGAGGAAATTTGTGAAAATGATCCCTGAGAACCTGAAATGTCTGCATTGGCTTTGTACTGATCTCTTTAAACCTGATATCCAATATTTTGTTTTCCATTACTTTTATTATTATTCTTATTTAGACATTATATACTTTGACCACAAAAGGCCAAGGGTGGCCAGGGTGAGGGAACAGAAGGAGGTTACAGGCTGACAGACTGTGAGATGTGGGCTGGCATGGGGTCACACACAAGCGTGTCCTTGCTCTACTCATGCCAGACTGCACAGTAGTACTGAAGGTTCACAAGGATATGTGTCCTAGATGCTCTTTGATGCTAGCAGAACAGATTGCCTATCAGAGGAAACCTTCATTCATTGGCTTTGCTTGAGTAAATCCAGAGAAAGGAGCATGGATGATAAAAGTACAGTCAGAATCCTAGAAAATTATAGCCCAGTAGTGATGCTAGGATATGGAGAATTTATGCCAAAGCTCATTGAAGTGGAAATTTCGACCAGGAAAACAAATGTTTGAGATTTTAAAAGTTATTCTGCAAATCTATGTATTTAGTCATTTATTTACCTACTTATTGATGAAATAACAACTCTACCTATAAAAATTCCCTAGGGCAATTATCTTTGTCTATCCAAGAAGTGAATTAACATACAAATTTTAAAGTTTTCTTTATATTTGCCATGTACCATAAACTCCTTGAACTTTCGTGTTCTGTTCCATAAAACAGATTGACAATAATTATTCAAAGGTCTATTTTTGGACTCAAATACATGGTATTTGCAAAAATACCTGACATTTAGCAGGCCTTCCATAAACCTAAGTACTTTTCTTTTTCTACGGTGACAGAGCCAAGAACCTTTTCACTGGTAAATTACAAGAAGCATTTACATAATTTTATCTTTAATTTAGTATTATCACTATATTTTTCATCCTTGGCCCTCTCTCATTAAGGCTGAAAATAGCCTTGCGTATAGTTTGTAACGATGGTATTACCAGTTCAACTCACCTTTGCACAATTAGTTCAAATGGTTAGACTCTAGTGTTAATAATTCCGAGGTATCAGGTTTAATTTCAGTAAAAATACTTGGATTAAAATAGAAAAGCAAACAAAATTCTGTTCTACTGCCGATACTACACATCTAACCATTTTAAACCAGCTTATTGTAATGTGTTATTTGTCAATAGAAGCTGCTCTGGCAATAACAAAAAAGAACCTGAGCAGTCCATTTTTGCTACAGGTAAAAGTAATCTCAAGTTAAGTGAATAACACTACTGTTAGGTGCTCAAGATGACATTTCACCTCCCAGTGTGGACAAACCCAAACAGGAATTTTGAGCTCTATTGGAATAAGAGCAATAGAGACAAACCAGTGAGTGTTAAAAGGTTTAATAAAGAAGCACTTCTTTAGTTCTATGTGGGTTCCTCTTGATAAGAAATCCCTGATTTGGGACTAGAAAGGGTTTAATGAATAATGATAAAAAGAATTTTAATTTAAATATTATGGAGGGATTTTCAAGAGATCTATGGATGAACTAGATTTAGTTTCCCTGGACCAGATACGTTCTATTCCTGAATTTAAAGAAAACTTTTGGATGAAAATGCTTAACATCAATAATCTTTGAGAACTGGGGAGAGGTTGCTACAATAGGTGCATAAGAAAATGCCATTCTGATTTTTTAAAATAAAATTTTAAAAAGCAAAAATTGTATTATTTAAGCTATAGTGTTGTATAATTAATGTCAATAAAAGCTGTATTACACTTTTAGAAAAAGTGTAACAACCATTTAAAGACGACAGGAATCCACTAGAGCAAGTGAAGCCAGACAAACTGTATTATATATAAAATAGTCAAAACAGAGAATGTTAGATAAGGTAAATGGATGCATAACTACTTTGCAAATGTATCCTAGAAACTGTTGACTAATGGGTCAGTATCTCCCAACTATATGTCATAGTTTTATGCTCTCAACTTCTTTTTACATTAGTAATATAAAGGAGACATAAAAGATCCCTCAAGTGTGAAAGTGAAATTAAACTATAGTGGACAGATCATTAATACTTAAGGCAGAATAATGCAAACAATTCAAAAATATACAACAATGGGCCAACTGTTATTTTAAATAAATGAACCACTAATACTACATAGTTTTCCAAAACAAACTACATCTCAAGACAGGGGAGGTAGGATGTGAATCGATTATCTAGAAAGAGATGTACTGTGTGAGGTGTCTGAAAGGACAACAGAATAAAGAAATACAATCTTGGGGTATATAATTAAGGAAGAAGAGTACATAGAACACAGGAATTTATTATAAGGTGAAATATGATGAGAAACAAGAAGTTCTCTAGCTTTGTGGGAAAGTCAGACATAATTTGAAATATTGAATGGGTGACCTTTGGCAAATTTACTTAACCTTTATAAACCTGATTTCTCATTTTTGAGTTGTGGAAAATAATATTAATTTCCTCATGGAGTGTTGCAGGTTAAATAAGGACATGCATACAAAGTTTACAGCACACTGATTGTCATTTGTTAAGAAATCACTAAATTATTATTGCTATTTTAGCTAAAAGTGTAGTTTTAATCCTACTCATGTGTTGGGTCATTTCTTTGCTTTTCACTTGCCAGTGAGAATTCAGATATCTTAAATATTTTCTTGGGTAAGTGGAGAACAATGCTTCTGTCTTATCACCTACATTAGGTTTCATTTTATTGATAGTAATATTTCTCAGTCTCCTTCCATAAGGTTGGTCACAATCAAGTTTAAGCCCTCCTTAGACTCGTGCTGAGCTAGAAAAAATACTTCCTAGCTAATATCTTTGCTTCCAGGATTGCTTTATCTCTATTTATTCAGAAATCCCTGCCATATTCATTTGTCCAAAAACCATTTCTAAAATATCACTGCTATGTTCCAAAACATACAATGACATTATCTCACCCTCAGGAAAACATCCAACTTTCTAGATGTTATTTTGACACTTTCCTTCATGGTCTTCTTCGTATTATCACAGCAGCCTTTGCTGTTTCCCTTCTATTTCAGGACTCTCCATTTTATCTCATTGCCCCTGTATTTCCTTTGCTCCAAGTGAGCACCTTTTTCTTCTGAAATTCCCTTTATATTTGCTGAGCCATTTCTACCAGTTTAAATTTCCTACTCTTGAATCTTTTATTATTATGTAAGCTTGCGTGGAAACCACTGTCCCATCAACTGCATTTAATTATGCAACTCTTGTTTATGTCAAGTTATTATTAAGTGTTATTTTGGAGGTTTACTTGCCACACATATAATTGTTTCCCTACCTAAATATTAGGACACATATATGCAATTTTTTTCTCATATCCCCTGTATACAGGAACATATGATATAAAAATTCGCAAAGCAGGTGCAAGATAAGAAAGTTGATATTAAATAAATTAACAAAGCTGCTAATCAATCAGTTCCCTCAACATTGCATCTGTTCTATGTCTCAGAGTCATGTACATTTACAAGGATATAAAATACTGATGGCTTATTAAGTAGACTCTAGATATCTAAATCAAACAATTTATAGAGGAAGATTTTTCCTTTATTCACAAAGATTTCTCATTTGAATGACATGCTAGTAATGTTTTACTTACATGTATACTCCATGTACAGATTGTTTCTCTATTCCCTGCCTCTGCTGACTTCACTACAGATGTTTGCGGTTAGAACAAAGGCCCAGGTTTCCCCGTGATTGCTTCATCATTAATTAATATACCATGGAGCAGAGTCACAGCTAGCAATTGCCAGAATTTCCCATTCCAGTATGCAAACCTTTGTAAAGCTTGTTCTAAAAAATGAAGAAAAAAGTATCCACTAGACTTTTCTATATTCTTCCCTGAGGCTTACATTGAACAATGAACTCAATACAGCACTGTACATCATACCCCTGAGCTGCTAGAAGAATTCAAACTTCGCTAAGCACAAGAGCCAAGGGAGCTCTTAGCATGCTTCTAAGTCCAGAGCTTAACATTCGGGATGAGACTACTGTCACAGGTTCCTTTGGAGTGTGATTTTTCTTGATTCTGTTCCATTTGGATGTGTGAAAGTATAAGGGAGGCTGGAGCAGCTGGAGAGGGAGGGAGAGCATGTCTAGAGTGATGACACATTTAAAAATATCATTCTGAGGAGCCCTGAGCTCTCTAGCTATGCATTCTAAATATAGTAATGCCAACAGGAGAGAAGTGCGCCAGTTGGGCTCTCAGAAAGCTGCTCCAGTACCACCAGGTAAAGATGACTCACCCAGGGCGAGTCAGACTATGATGTGCCATTTCAGCATTTTCTTACCAAAGCCTTCTCAGTCAGACCCTTCTCAAAAAGCCACACTCTCCGTGGAGGATTGAAGAGTAATAATGCATAACACTGAATCCCTAACATTAGATCATTGTTAATCTCCTCAAAAAAACATATTTCTCTATGGAACAAACCTGCACGTTCTGCACATGTATCTCTTTTTTTTCTTAGAAAAAATAAAAAACACACACACACATTTCTGTTACAAAAAGGCTTTTTAGCTAATAACACGTATTGGCAAAGGAAAAAATTTAAAAAAAACCAAAAAGGTAGTGGACATTTATTAATCCTGCACATAAATTGGTTTGAATGTTTGGTCATTTTTTTTCCCTGATTTGGTTAATTTTAATTTTTTTTTTTTTTGGTAAGGGAAACTAAAACTAGTGCTGCATTAAACGTATGCCTCTAACATACCAAACAATAAATTGAACAGGTTTATAAAAAGGAAAAGCCCTTATTTATTATACAATTCCTGGTTTCTTTTCCTCTTTAGAGTGCACACATATAAATACACAATTTAAACACACAATTCTCCAAAACCTCATTAAAATCAAACCTATTTGAGCTTATTGTTAGAGTCTGAAGTTATCTTTTATAGTTCTTGCCCACTCCATATTTATTGTGTTGAGATTTATTGCATTTTAATGGCTACATGTACATAAGTTGCTTCTCAACTAGGACTATTTAAAGACCTCCAGTGATGAGCTAACTATAACAAACTTGCCATCTGTATCTCTTAGGAAGCAAGAGTTTTAAATTTAGCCAACTATTGCCATTCTATTTTTCAGTCCAATCTCTTCTGTACATTCCTTCTACCAATCCTAATTCTGGAGGTACGGAGGGTGGGTAGACTAGGATGACTTGTTAGCAGGAGTAAGAAACAGAAGAAATCTCTTAACTATAACTTCATCTAGTGTTGGTGATTTCGGATTCTTATTCCAGCTCCTGCTTTCTGCTTCCTCACTCCCCTTCAGGATAACATATTGAGGTGCTACCAACACCTGGTGAAGCCAGAGGGAAAGAAGCACTGAAGGGAGAGTAATTTCTCTGGGAATCAGAGTAGAAGATGCCTGATTTCATTAATATCCTGCAGGCTGATTCATTCAGTGGTTTCTAACGCCTAAATTAGTCGCTAAGCATGCAAGGTAGGCAGCTAGGCCTTCTATTTTTTTTAGAACCCATATTTGGTTTTTCCTTTGAGTCTCAAGCTTCTCGCCTTATCTTGATGAAGTGAGGAGGAGACAGCCTCCTCTTTCCAGTTTTTTACCAATGCTTTTGAAATTTTTATTTTTCCTTTTGTTTCTTTTCTTACCCATTTTTTCCACTTTGCCTACTTTCATTCTTTGATTTCCCAAAAAATATTTATAAAGGAAAAATGAGATAATAAAACAATGCAAATCATTTTTCTCCCTTGCTTTTGGGCAAAATTCATCTTTAAAAATTTGGTGCTATTGATGTTAGCAACAAAATCCAACTATAGAGCACTATCAGTTTTTATTAATTTTCTCTACAGCTCCATATATCCAGAGACACTTAAAATGATTTAACAATAACAAATGGGTAATAAACTTCAGTAAATTTTAGGATTTCTCATCTATCATCAGTTAAACTGAACAATTTCCCCATAAATGTCAATTGACTACAATGAAGACTTTTAATTTATTTTAGAAATACATGCCATGCTATATTTTTCCAAAATCGTCATACTTTACAAATCCCAGACTCAAAACAGTATCCAAATGCCAGAAAGCCTTCTCTATTCCAAATGAGAATCTATTAATTAAAACTGGGAAAATGAAGAGTCTGTTATAAGAAAGCCATAAGTTAAATCAGTACTTAAAACTATGCCATGCCCAGGATGACTAGTGGAAAAATACCAAAATGCGTGTGTTTAAAAATTAACCATGAAGGCAAATTGAGCCATGCCTATTACCCAAATATGAACTGAAAATAAAGAAAAAACAAATATGAACAGATTGTGACCCTTTGTTTTCATTTAAATACATTTTGAAGTCAGAGACACTGAATTCTGGCATAGAAAAATTTTGACATTGTCAGATACACAAATTCAAAAATCCAATTACTTTCAATGGTAGTGAGAGGTGACAGCATGCTGGCAGCCCTCACAGCCCTCACAGCCCTCACTCGCTCTCGGTGCCTTCTCTGCCTGGGCTCCCACTTTGGTGGCACTTGAGGAGCCCTTCAGCCCACCGCTGCACTGTGGGAGCCCCTTTCTGGGCTGGCCAAGGCAGGAGCCGGCTCCCTCAGCTTGCAGGGAGGTGTGGAGGGAGAGGCGTGAGCGGGAACCGGGGGCTGCCTGCAGCGCTTGCAGGCCAGCTGGAGTTCCGGATGGGCGTGGGCTTGGTGGGCCCTGCACTCCGAGCGGCCAGCCGGCCCTTCCGCCCCAGGCAATGAGAGGCTTAGCACCCGGGCCAGCCCAGCACTGCCAGCCCACCGGCACTGCACTCGATTTCTTGCCGGGCCTTAGCTGCCTCCCCATGGGGCAGCGCTCGGGACCTGCAGCCCGCCATGGGCTCCTGTGCTGCCCGAGCCTTCCCGAAGAGCGCCGCCCCCAGCTCCACGGCGCCCAGTCCCATCGACCACCGAAGGGCTGAGGAGTGCGGGCACAGGGCACGGGACTGGCAGGCAGCTCCACCTGCAGCCCCGGTGCAGGATCCACTGGGTGAAGCCAGCTGGGCTCCTGAGTCTGGTGGGTATGTGGAGAACCTTTGTGTCTAGCTCGGGGATTGTAAATACACCAACCAGCACTCTGTATCTAGCTCAAGGTTTGTAAATAAATACACCAATCAGCACCCTGTGTCTAGCTCAGGGTTTGTGAATGCATCAATCGACTCTCTGTATCTAGCTACTCTGGTGGGGACTTGGAGAACCTTTGTGTCCACACTGTGTATCTAGCTAATCTAGTGGGGAGGTGAAGAACCTTTGTGTCTAGCTCAGGGATTGTAAACACACCAATCAGCGCCCTGTCAAAACAGACCACTGGGCTGCACCAATCAGCGCCCTGTCAAAACAGACCACTCGGCTCCACCAATCAGCAGGATGTGGGTGGGGCCAGATAAGAAAATAAACACAGGCTGCCTGAGCCAGCAGTGGCAACCCTCTGGGGTCCCCTTCCAC
Source organism: Homo sapiens (assembly GCF_000001405.40). NCBI lineage: Eukaryota > Metazoa > Chordata > Mammalia > Primates > Hominidae > Homo > Homo sapiens. The sequence goes on along the minus strand of NC_000002.12, from coordinate 51,779,818 downwards.
ACTGTGGAAGCTTTGTTCTCTCGATCTTTGCAATACATCTTGCTACTGCTTACTCTTTCGGTCCACACTGCCTTTATGAGCTGTAACACTCACCGCAAAGGTCTGCAGCTTCACTCCTGAAGCCAGCGAGACCACGAACCCACCGGGAGGAACGAACAACTCCAGACACGCTGCCTTAAGAGCTGTAACACTCACCGTGAAGGTCCGCAGTTTCACTCCTGAGCCAGCGAGACCACAAACCCACCAGAAGGAAGAAACTCCGAACACATCCAAACATCATAAGGAGCAAACTCCAGACGAGCAACCGTAAGAGCTGTAACACTCACCGCGGCTTCATTCTTGAAGTCAGTGAGACCAAGAACCCACCAATTCCGGACACAATAGGTAAGATACCCTTTCACACACCTGGGATCTAAATTTCCAAACATTTTGTTTCTTTTCTCTATCTTTATGTTTAATTAAAGAATAAAATATAGAAGCTGCCTTGGGGACAGATTTGAACTGATGACAAGCAGTTTGATAGGAAGTGACTTCAGCCCACAATGGCACAAGCTTGTAGTCTCAGGTACTAAGGAGGCTGAGGTGAGAGGATCATTTCAGCCCAGGAGTTTGAGACAAGCCTGGGCAACATAGTGAGATCCTACCTTCAAAACAAAGAAACAAAAAAAATCGTGACTTCAGGTCACTATTCAGGAGGGAAGGGACAGTGAAAGAAAGGGGAATGTCTGAGACTGAACACGATTTGCACTCTGAAGCCCCAGCATAGTCTTAATTCTGTGTCCAAGGGAACCTCAGACTTGGCCTGCCTCAGCCTCATTTTGAGTCCAACTGCATTTTGAATCCAACTGCAGGAACCTTTATACACTCCAAGGCCTCATCTCTTCCCAGTTTCTACCGTTTGCCTTACCTCTGATTCCTAGAACAATTACTCACTCTGGAGACAGAAATAAAAATATACTAATAAGGAAATTTCTATTCCATTAATTTTAATCAATTCTAAAGTTTGGGCAATTGGTCAAGTTTCATTTTGGTTTCTTGCTTTTGATCTCGGCAATGCAAAATTGCATTAAAAAAGAATAATCTTTAGAACTCATTAATATTTGTTACCATTAAATAAGCAGATATCTTTACTCACATGACTCTTACTGCTAAGGAACCAGGTGTAAAATTGGGGTCATAAAAAAGTGAAAAATATCTCCTTTTATACATATTCTGGGAGTTTGTTTCTTTGGACACTCATCTATTTAGGATTAATCAGTTTTTAAAAATCACTTTCAAAAGGTATCCCTGGAAATGTAAATTATGAATTCCACTGTGCTTTAAACTTCTTGGAGTAATATTAAAAATAATTTTAAAAATCTTTTCACGTTCACTAAGTAGTAGGCTAGTCTAGCAAAAAAAGAATTGATCTTAGAATCAGGAGACCAATCTCCTTTGTTGCTGTGACCCTTACACAGATTTATGACCTTGAACAAAACATTTAATTTTCCTTTTAGTGAGTCCTCGCTTGTAAGGTAATACTGAGGTTTTTTTTTTTTTTTTTGAAATTGATTTCTTAATAATAGGCAGTGATTGAATTTTTAATAAATGCTCTTTTACCTTGGTTTTCTCCATCTTCCCCTACTAAGAAAGATTTTGAGCTTTACGAGAAAAAGTAGAAGTTACATATCCTTTAGGTTAGAGTAGAGGCTACAGTTCCCTTTAGGAAGAAACACTGTCAGTTTTATTTGTCACTATGTTCCCAGGACCTAGAATGTAGTAGGCCACAACAAATATGCATTGAATGAATGAATTAATATGCTCTTGGACGTACATTTTTCTTTAAAATTTATCACCTCCAAGAGGCCCCTTCGATGTTATCACCAGAAAGGAAACGTCTTCAGCTTTTTATTTGTGGAATAAAAAGCAAAACTAAGGTATAAAATAGTACTCATTTTGTCTCACAGCTTGTAGCATATAAATCACAGATATACTACCAATGCAAAGTACTTCACTGATATTATAAGAACATTGTAAATGCTTAATTTATCTTAAGTTTGCCTATACCTGAAATTGTGAATGAATACAGGTTAAAAAGATGCCACAAAATTTAATTATTACTATACATTAGATATCAGGAATTTTTCATAAAATGTCTGTTTTTGTCATAACAAAATGAGTTTTCTGTGAATCACTATTTTGTAAAATATTTAAATATATAATATTTAAAGTGAAAAAATCATCTTATGTATTTACTTATTTCTTTTTGCTTTCTTTCCTAAGCTACTGCTTAAGAGTATACTGTGCAGAGCCAGACTAGGTTCAAAGTCATAATTCAAATTCCTACTCTGAAACTTGGTCTCATTAATTAGCTCTCTCATCTTTAAAATGAAGATAATAGCAATGTAAGTGGGTTGTTGATAGGATGAAAGGAATTATTACATGAAAATCATTTGGAATGAAGCATGTCACAAAACTGATATCCAATACATGTTAATCATTATGATTTTCAGCATGGCTTTTTTTTTTAAATAAAAAACATCATTAATTTTTCAAAAAGGAAATAAATTTCTCTTTGAAAATTTGTAGTCCACACAATGGATGTCTTCAACACATGGTTTCTTTCCAATTCCACCACATTCCTCAGATATTCCAGGCTTCCTGCCTTCCCCACCAGCAGACAGATTAGGTATGTCAGAAAAGAAACCCGATCAAGCCAATTTCTTCCAGATGATGGGCCAGGGGCACAGGCCTAGATGCTCACAAGTGAGTTGAAGGAGGATTGGGTGATATACTGCAAACCCTCAGTGTACAATTTTGTAGCTACCAGGTCATTTTCTTACTATTAAATGCTTCAGAGTTCTTACATGTGTAAACCAAAAATAAAATTCTAAGGCCCCCCAACTATCTGAATAGACTTTCTCCTCAGCCAGAACTCTTTTAAAATTTAACCTGAAGGACTGCTTCAGGCTATGATAGGAAGACATTACCATCAACACAGACTTTAAGTCTGATAGGAAACATTTTATATACTATTCTCTCTGAAACCTGCTACCTGGAGGCTTCACCTGTGTAATAAAACTTTGGTCTCCATAACCTCTTATAGCAACCCAGACATTGCTTATTATTGATCCCAGGACTTTAGACAAACTCAACCTATTGTCAACTAGAAAATGTTTACATTTACCTATAGCCTGTACAGTAACCCCCCTACTACCCGCCTCACCGGCTTAGAATTGTCTCTCCTTTCTGGACCAAATCAATGTATTTCTTAAATATATTTAAACGTATTTGACTGAAGTCTCATGCCTCCCTAAACTGTGTAAAACCAAGCTGCACCCCAACCATTTTGGGCACATGTTCCCAGGACCTCCTGAGGTCTGTGTCATGGGCCACAGTCAATCATATTTGGCTCAGAATAAATCTCTTCAAATATTCTACAGAGTCTGACTCCTTCTTGTAAACATCTGGACCATCTCATTTCTTTTTCATATTCAGAAACTTACAGATACTAACCAAACACACAGAATAGACTTGACTGATTACAGTCGCAGTAGTGCCTGACATTTGATTTTTGACATTAATCTGTCTCTCTCTCTTTCTCTCTCTCCCTCTCTCTCTCTCTCTCTCTCACACACACACACACACACACACACACACAAATTATTAGTACCACTTCACTCCTCCCAGAAACAGAAAATAATAATATAGCTCTGTCTTTTCAGGGTCAAATTGGATGAATAAAATTGAGAAAATATGGATTGCTTAGGAAGCCTTAGCTCCTTTATGGGGCAAATCTGTCAAGGGAATCCTGTAACCCACTGATCACCACAAATGTCAGCAGCCCAGATTTGCAAATTCCGCCTCATAAATCTTCAAGACTATTTGCTGATCTCAATGAGAATAAATTGGGCAATGATAATATCATGAATTTCTATGATAGAATAATAAGTGACCATGAACAATATGACTTTTAAGTGATCACTACTAGGGTCTATTTGCATTTTCACTAGCTTCTTCTTGCTACTTGTTTTTGCTTTTACTTGAAAAATACCCTAGGATGATTTGAACACTTAAAGATTCAAATTGATACTTTTAGTTGCCCTTTTAATGAATTTTTATTTATCTAGAGGAGTGCAGCTAGAATCTAATAAAAAATCTGAAAATGACTACTGTTGAAATCGATCATTTATAAATAAGGACAAATATAAAACCACAATTGCATCTGTATTAAAATGGCCATACCATTTTATATTCACACCAGCAATGTATGAGAATTTCAACTGTTTCATATCCAAACCTGTTTTTCTGCATTCTAATTAGTATCATTTTAGCATTCTCATATTGACCCGTTCACCCATTTGCTCATTTATTTGTTTACTTGAGAAATATCTTACTTTGATAGTTAGGAAGTTTATGTTAAAACCTCAAGTTGAGGTGGACAGTGGCTACTGGATGCTCTATGAGCAGCCCAACTACTCGGGCCTCCAGTACTTCCTGTGCTGCGGTGACTACGCCAACCACCGACAGTGGATGGGCCTCAGCGACTCAGTCCACTCCTGCCACCTCATCCCCCACACTGTAAGATACACTTTACTAGCAGTCACTTAAACCTCAAAAATAATTGCTTCCTCTCAGTTCCATGAAAGCTGAATAGGAACAGCTCCAGTCTACAGCTCCCAGCATGAGCGACGCAGAAGACAGGCGATTTCTGCATTTTCAATTGAGGTACCGGGTTCATCTCACTGGGACTTGTTGGACAGTGGGTGCAGCCCACAGAGTGTGAGCCGAAGCAGTGTGGGGCATCGCCTGATCTGGGAAGTGCAAGGGGTCGGGGAATTCCCTTTCCTAGCCAAGGGAAGCCGTGACAGATGGTACCTGGAAAATCAGGATACTCCCGCCCTAATACTGCGTTTTTCCAACGGTCTTAGCAAATGGCACACCAGGAGATTATATCCTGCACATGGCTTGGTGGGTCACATGCCCACAGAGCCTTGCTCACTGCTAGTGCAGCAGTCCGAGATCGAACTGCGAGGCGGCAGCGAGGCTGGGGAAGGGACGTCTGCCATTGCTGAGGCTTGACTAGGTAAAGAAAACAGCCAGAAAGCTAGAACTAGGTGGAGCCCACCACAGCTCAACGAGGCCTGCCTGCTTCTGTAGACTCCACTTCTGGGGGCAGGGCATAGCTGAACAAAAGGCAGCAGAAACTTCTGCAGACTTAAACGCCCCTGTCTGACAGCTTTCAAGAGAGTAGTGGTTCTCCCAGTATGGAGTTTGAGATCTAAGAATTGACAGACTGCCTCATCAAGTGGGTCCCTGACCCCTGAGTAGGCTAACTGGGAGAAACCTCCCAGTAGGGGCAGACTGACACCTCATACAGCCAGGTACCCCTCTGAGACAAAGCTTCCAGAGGAAGGATCAGGCAGCAACATTTGCTGTTCTGCAATATTTGCTGTTCTGCAGCCTCCACTGGTGATACCCAGGCAAACAGGGTCTGGAGTGGACCTCCAGCAAACTCCAAAAGATCTGCAGCTGAGGGTCCTGACTAATAGAAGGAAAACTAACAAATAGAAAGGAATAGCATCAATATCAACAAAAAGGACATCCAAACCAAAACCCCATTTGTAGGTCACCATCATCAAAGACCAAAGGTAAATAAAACCACACAGATGGGGAGAAACCAGAGCAGAAGACCTGAAAATTCTAAAAATCAGAGCACCTCTTCTCCTCCAAAGGATCGCAGCTCTTCGCCAGCAACGGAACAAAGCTGGATGGAGAATGACTTTGACGAGCTGAGAGAAGAAGGCTTCAGAAGATCGGTAACAACAAACTTCTCTGAGCTAAATGAAGATGTTCGAACCCAACACAAAGAAGCTAAAAACCTTGAAAAAAGATTAGATGAATGGCTAACTAGAATAAACAGCACAGAGAAGACCTTAAATAACATGATGGAGCTGAAAACCATGTCACGAGAACTACGTGACGCAGGCACAAGCTTCAGTAGCCAATTCGATCAAGTGGAAGAAAGGGTATCAGTGATTGAAGATCAAGTGAATGAAACGAAGCGAGAAGAAAAGTTTAGAGAAAAAAGAGTAAAAAGATATGAACAAAGCCTCTGAGAAATACGGGACTATATGAAAAGACCAAATCCCGTTTAATTGGTGTACCAGAAAGTGACGGGGAGAATGGAACCAAGTTGGAAAAATGTTCTTCAGGATATCATCCAGGAGAACATCCCCAACCTAGCAAGGCAGACCAACATTCAAATTCAGGAAATACAGAGAACACCACAAAGATACTCCTTGAGAAGAGCAACTCTAAGACACATAATTTTCAGATTCACCAAGGTTGAAATGAAGGAAAAAATGTTAAGGGCAGCCAGAGAGAAAAGTCAGGTTAACCACAAAGGGAAGCCCGTCAGACTAACAGCATATCTGTCAGCAGAAACTCTAAAAGCCAGAAGAGAGTGGGGGCCAATATTCAACATTCTTAAAGAAAAGAATTTTCAGCCCAGAATTTCATATCCAGCCAAACTAAGCTTCATAAGTGAAGGAGAAATAAAATACTTTACAGACAAGCAAATGCTGAGAGATTTTGTCACCACCAGGCCTACCTTTCGAGAGCTCCTGAAGGAAGCACTAAACATGGAAAGGAACAACCGGTATCAGCCACTGCAAAAACATGCCAAATTGTAAAGACCATCGATGCTAGGAAGAAACTGCATCAACTAACGAGCAAAATAACCAGCTAACATCATAATGACAGGATCAAATTCACACATAACAATATTAACCTTAAATGTAAATGGGCTAAATGTTCCAACTAAAAGACACAGACTGGCAAATTGGATAAAGAGTCAAGACCCATCAGTGTGCTGTATTCAGGAGACCCATCTCACATGCAGAGACAAACATTGACTCAAAATAAAGGGATGGAGGAAGATCAAACAACAAATGGAAAACAAAAAAGGCAGGGGTTGCAATCCTGGTCTCTGATAAAACAGACTTTAAACCAACAAAGGTCAAAAGACACAAGGCCACTACATCATGGTAAAGGGATCAATTCAACAAGAAGAGCTAACTATCCTAAATATATATGCACACAATAAAGGAGCACCCAGATTCATAAAACAAGTCTTTAGAGACCTACAAAGAGACTTAGACTCTCACACAATAATAATGGGAAACTTTAACACCCCACTGTCAACATTAGACAGAGCAATGAGACAGGAAGTTAACAAGGATACCCAGGAATTGAACTCAGCTCTGCACCAAGTGGACCTAAGAGACATCTACGGAACTCTCCACCCCAAATCAACAGAATATACATTCTTCTCAGCACCACATCACACTTATTCCAAAATTGACCACATAGTTGGAAGTAAAGCACTCCTCAGCAAATGTAAAATAACAGAAATCATAACAAACTGTCTCTCAGACCACAGTGCAATCAAACTAGAACTAAGTTTTAAGAAACTCACTCAAAACCACTCAACTACCTGGAAACTGAACAACCTGCTCCTGAATGACTACTGGGTATATAATGAAATGAAGGCAGAAATGAAGATGTTCTTTGAAACCAATGAGAACAAAGACACAACATACCAGAATCTCTGGGACACACTTAAAGCAGTGTGTAGAGGGAAAATTATAGCACTAAATGCCCACAAGAGAAAGCAGGAAAGATCTAAAATTGACACCCTACCATCACAATTAAAAGAACTAGAAAAGCAAGAGCAAACACATTCAAAAGCTAGCAGAAGGCAAGAAATAAGTAAGATCAGAGAAGAACTGAAGGAAATAGAAACACAAAAAACCCTTCAAAAAATCAATGAATCCAGGAGCTGGTTTTTTGAAAAGATCAACAAAATTGATAGACCACTAGCAAGACTAATAAAGAAGAAAAGAGAGAAGAATCAAATAGACACAATAAAAAATGATAAAGGGGATATCACCACCGATCCCACAGAAATACAAACTACCATCAGATAATACTATAAACACCTCTACGCAAATAAACTAGAAAATCTAGAAGAAATGGATAAATTCCTGGACACATACATCCTCCCAAGACTAAACCAGGAAGAAGTTGAATCCCTGAATAGACCAATAACAGGCTCTGAAATTTAGGCAATAATTAATAGCCCACCAACCAAAAAGAGTTCAGGACCAGATGGATTCACAGCCGAATTCTACCAGAGGTACAAGGAGGAGGTGGTACCATTCCTTGTGAAACTTTTACAATCAACAGAAAAAGAGGGAATCCTCCCTAACTCATTTTATGAGGCCAGCATCATCCTGATACCAAAGCCTGGCAGAGACACAACAAAAAAGAGAGAATTTTAGACCAATATCCCTGATGAACATCGATGCAAAAATCCTCAATAAAATACTGGCAAACCAAATCCCAGCAGCACAACATAAAGCTTATCCACCATGATCAAGTGGGCTTCATCCCTGGGATGCAAGGCTGGTTCAACCCATGCAAATCAATAAACTTAATCCAGCATATAAACAGAACCAAAGACAACAACCACATGGTTATCTCAATAGGTGTAGAAAAGGCCTGCAACAAAATTCAACAGCCCTTCATGCTAAAAACTTTCAACAAACTAGGTATTGATGGGACGTATCTCAAAATAATAAGAGCTATTTATGACAAACCCACAGCCTATACCATGCTTAATGGGCAAAAACTGGAAGCATTCCCTTTGAAAACTGGCACAAGACAGGGATTCCCTCTCTCACCACTCCTATTCAACATAGTGTTGGAAATTCTGGCCAGGGCAATCAGGCAGGAGAAAGAAATAAAGGGTATTCAATTAGGAAAAGAGGAAGTCAAATTGTCCCTGTTTGCAGGTGACATGATTATATATTTAGAAAACCCCATTGTCTCAGCCCAAAATCTCCTTAAGCTGATAAGCAACTTCAGCAAATTCTCAGGATACAAAATCAATGTGCAAAAATTACAAGCATTCCTATACACCAATAACAGACAAACAGAGAGCCAAATCATGAGTGAACTCCCATTCACAATTGCTTCAAAGAGAATAAAATACCTAGGAATCCAACTTACAAGGGATGTGAAGGACCTCTTCAAGGAGAACAGCAAACCACTGCTCAAGGAAATAAAAGAGGACACAAACAACTGGAAGAACATTCCATGCTAATGGGTAGGAAGAATCAATATCATAAAAATGGCCATACTGCCCAAGGTAATTTATAGATTCAATGCCATCCCCATCAAGCTACCAATGACTTTCTTCACAGAATTGGAAAAAACTACTTTAAAGTTCATATGGAACCAAAAATGAGCCCACAATGCCTAGATAATCCTAAGCCGAAAGAACAAAGCTGGAGGCATCATGCTACCTGACTTCAAACTATACTGCAAGGCTACAGTAACCAAAAAAGCATGGTACTGGTACCAAAACAGAGATATAGACCAATGGAACAGAACAGAGCCCTCAGAAATAATACCACACATCTACAACCATCTGATCTTCAAAAAATCAGAAAGAAAGAAAGAAACAAACAAGAAATGGGGAAAGGATTCCCTATTTAATAAATGGTGCTGGGAGAACTGGCTAGCCAGATGTAGACAGCTGAAACTGGATCCCTTCCTTACACCTTATACTAACATTAATTCAAGACGGATTAAAGACTTACATGTTAGACCTAAAACCATAAAAACCCTAGAAGAATACCTAGGCAATGCCATTCAGGACATAGGCATGGGCAAGGACTTCATGACTAAAACATCAAAAACAATGGCAACAAAAGCCAAAATTGACAAATGGGATCTAATTAAACTAAAGAGCTTCTGCACAGCAAAAGAAACTACCATCAGAGTGAACAGGCAACCTAAAAAATGGGAGAAAATTTTTGCGATCTACCCATCTGACAAAGGGCTAATATTCAGAATCTACAAGAAACTGAAACAAAATTTACAAGAAAAAATCAAACAACTCCATCTAAAAGTGGGTGAAGGATATGAACAGACACTTCTCAAAAGAAGACGTTTATGCAGCCAGACACATGAAAAAATGCTCATGATCACTGGCCATCAGAGAAATGCAAATCAAAACCACAATGAGATACCATCTCACACCAGTTAGAATGGTAATCATTAAAAAGTCAGGAAACAACAGGTGCTGGAGAGGGTGTGGAGAAATAGGAACACTTTTACACTGTTGGTGGGACTGTAAACTAGTTCAACCATTGTGGAAGACAGTGTGGCGATCCCTCAAGGATCTAGAACTAGAATTACCATTTGACCCAGCGATCCCACTACTGGGTATATACCCAAAGGATTATAAATCATGCTGCTATAAAGACACATGCACACGTATGTTTACTGCGGCACTATTCTCAATAGCAAAGATTTGGAACCAACCCAAATGTCCATCAATGATAGACTGGATTAAGAAAATGTGGCACATATACACCACGGAATACTATACAGCCATAAAAAAGGATGAGTTCATGTCCTTTGTAGCGACATGGATGAAGCTGGGAACCATCATTCTGAGAAAACTATCGCAAGGACAGAAAACCAAACACCGCATGTTCTCACTCATAGGTGGAAATTGAACAATGAGAACACTTGGACACAGGGCAGGGAACATCACAGACTGGTGCCTGTGGTGGGGTGTGGGGAGTTGGGAGGGATAGCATTAGGAGAAATACCTAATGTAAATAACGAGTTAATGGGTGCAACACACCAACATGACACATGTATACATATGTAACAAACTGCCTGTTGTGCACATGTACCCTAGAACTTAAAGTATAATAATGAAAAAAAAATAAAGTGAAAAAAAACCTCAAGTTGATAGTCTTAGTTAACCTTTTTATTATGCATGTTTATCTAGAGGATTTTTAGATGGAAGTAAGTCAAAGTCAGAAAATTTTACTGAACTAAATAATTTATAAATAAGGACAAGGTTAAAAACCATGATATTGTACAAATACTAGGAATGTCAAATAATTTTAAATACAAAATTTTACAAAATTCACAAAATAAAATTATTGCTTATAAATATATTTAAGTAGAATATTACAGCTTGCATTCCTTTAGACCTGCATTGATATCGTTCAGAAAACATTAATGTCAAATATTATCTTGTTTATAAAGTTACTATAGACTTTTACTTCTGTCACGCTTCTCTCTTCATTATAAAGCTGTATGTATCATGGTACATATATAATGATTTGCACTTGATTCTGTGAAAACTATTTGAAATATGAGTTACCTAAAATATAAATTCTTACTGCTGTAGCTGTAAGGTTCCCTCAAACCTCAAGTTGAAATTTGATTTCCAGTGTTGCAGTTGGGGCCTCATAGGAGTTGTTTAGGTCGTGGGAATGGATCCCTTATGGGTAGATTAATGCGCTCCCTGGAATGGGTATGAGTCAGTTCTTGCTCTGTTAGTTCCCATTAGAGCTGGTTGTTAAAAACAGGCTGGAACCTTTACTCTAACTTTTGTTTCCTCTCTTGCCATGTAATCTGTGCACACACATGCTCCTTTTTGCCTTCTGCCATGAGTGGAAGTAGCCTGTGTCACTCAGCACAAGCAGATATCAGTGCCATGCTTTTTTGTACAGCCAGTAGAAATATGAGCCAAATAAACCTCTCTTCTTTATAAATTACGCAGCCTCAAGTATTATTCCTTTATAGCAACACAAACAAAGAAAGATGCCTACCATATAATCTCAGCAAACACTATAATAAAAAGATTACTTATGCTATAAGGAAATAATGTGTTTACCTCAATTACAAATAATAAAAATTTTACTCAAGTAATAAACTTAAATGAATATAATGTTAAAGTAAGAAAACCAGAAATTTTGACAGTTCAGAAACCTAACACTTTCCCACATTTCCAAATTGATGCATTACTATGTTAAAATTATTTTGTTTTATGACATGATTGATTTTATGACTTGTGCAAAATTGAATGTGACTGAGGTTAAAAGTAAGCCAGAAGTAAAGAACAATAAAGGCTGGCTTAATTATTATCATGCAAAATTAAATAGTTCATACAGAAGTTAAAAAAATGAGAACTGAGGTATAACAAATGAGCATAAGACAAACAAGAAGAGATGTAAGTACACAATGCTGACCTTCAGATCAAGAAAATTTGAGGAGTTTTAGCTCTAGAGGTTTCAATTCAGAGAGCTTAATGCCATCTGTTCTGGGATGTTTAAACATTCAAGCTACTGGAAGCAAGGGAACGTACACCTGAATTCCCTTTGAAAAATACGCTTTACAATTTAGGCTTTATATGTTTCTCAATAAAGCACAGTGAAAGAAAAAAATGTCTACATTCAAAATGCCTATTTCATTTTTAGAAAATGTGTCTAAAACTAGATCAGTCTTGTTAACTGATTTATGAATACATAATTAATGTGCAACAAATTGCATGCATTTCAAGTGTACAATTTACAAGTTTTAAAATATATAAATATATATGAAACAATTACACAATAAAGATAAGGAAAAAGATTCCTCTTGCCTATTCTTTTTATTTAAAAAAATTCACCAATAAAAAATTCTATATATTTTTGGTAGACAACATGTTTTGATAAATGTATATACTGTAGAATGGCTTATGAAATCAAGCTAATTAACATATACAGTACCTCCTATACTTATGATTTTTTTGTGGTGAGAACACTTAAAATATACTCTCTTAGAAAGTTTTAGATTGACAATATATTGTTTTTAATAATCATCTCCATGATGTACAAAAGACCTCATGAATCTATTCCTTCTGTTGAACTGAAGTTTTGTATCCTTTGACCAACATCTCCCCAGTTCTTTCATTCCCCAGCCTCTAGTAACCATTTGTCTACTCTGCTTCTACAAGTTTGACTGTTTTAGATCCTCTGTATAAGTTAGATTTTACAGTATTTCTCTTTCTGTGTCTTATTTTACTTAGCATAATTTCCTCTATATTTGTCTATGTTGTTGTAAATGACATGGACAAATATAAAAAGCTTTTTAAAAGCAGAATAGTATTGTGTGTGTGTGGGTGTGTGTGTATGTGTGTGTACTTCATACCTCATCCATTGATAGACACAGAGTGATTTCATGTCTTGGCTATTGTGAATAATGCTGCAATGAACATGGGAGTACAGATATCTTGTTGACATACTGAGTTCATATCTTTCGATATAACCAGCAGTGGTGAATTGCCGGATGATATTAATTTTTTGAGAAATCTTCATAATATTTTCTATAATGGCTTTACTGACTTACTTTCCCACTAACAGTATACAAGGGCTCCACATCCATGCCAGTGTTTATTTTTAAAATCTTTTTGATAGTAGCCATTCTAACAGCTGTGCGGTGACATTTCACTATTGTTTCAACTTGCATTTCCCTGATGATTAGTGATGATGAATATTTTTCTCATATACCTGTCAATCATTTCCATGTAGTCTTTTGAAAAATATTTATTTCCTTTGCCCATTTAAAAAGTTGGTTATGTGTTTTCTTACTGTTGAGTTGTTTGGATTTTTTATATATTTTTGATATTTTCTTCTTGCCTCTTTTTAATCTCTCTTTCTCACTTTTTCCTACACTCGCTTTCATCTCCAGAAAACCACTGACCAACTTTCTGGCAATACAGATTAGTTTGAGGTTACTAGAATATTACATAATGAAATCACACAGTATGTTGTCTTTTTTGTCTGGATTACTTCACTCAACATAACTCTTTTCAGGTTCATCCATGTTGTAGTTTGTATCAATATTTTATTCTTTTTTAAGTTTGTGCTGGGTAGCTTTTGATTTCATGAATGTACCACAGTTTCAATTGTTAATAAACATTTGAGTTGTCTTCAAGACAATTATGAATAAACCTTATGATTTACATATTCCATACTAAATAATTATTTCAGAGAAATGAAATTATGATTACAGTAATATGTTTGTAATAAGTATTTGGTATGGTGTATGTGAATCATATGGCAGGTGTAGGGTTAACTTTTTAAGAAACTGTCAAACTGTTTCCCAAATTTGTTGTTCCTTTTTACATACCTGGCAGCAATGTTTGAGTTTCCGTCATTCCACACCCTTGTCAACCATTGGTATAGTCAGCCTCTTTAATTTTAGCCATTTTAATAGATGTGTAGTCGTTATAATGGTATCTCATTGTGGTTGTCATTTGCCTTGTTCTAATAACTAATGTGTACTTATGTCTTTTCACGTGCTTCTTTGCCATCAAATAAGTACACCTACTCTGGTAATGTGGCTGTTCAAGTTTTTTGCCCTTGTCCTTTAATTGGGTTGTTAGCTTACTATCAATGAATTTTAAGAGTTCCAGACATATTCTAATTATTATTCCTTCACCAGATATATATAGTAGAAATAGTTTTTGTTGCTCTGTGGCTGGCCTTTTATTCTCCTAACTTTAAGGATGAAATTGAAGATAAATTTATCCATTTGTTCTAATATGAATCACACTTATATATTGTATCAAAAATAGTTCTTATTTTAAGGTTACAGAGGTTATTTTCCTGTGTGTTCTTCTAGATGTAATTTTAGGTTTTATATGTAGGTCTATGATTTTTTAGTTAATTTTAATCAATGGTGTGAGGTATTTTATTTTTACGCTTGTGGGTAAATAATTGATTTCTGTCATTATTTCTTGAAAACAAAATCCAATCTCCACTGAATTGTTTTTTTTTTTTTTTACCTGAGTTATAAATCAGTTGTTCATATATGTGTGGATCTGTTTGTGGACTCTCTGTTCTCTTCTGTTTATCTTTTTTATTTGTATATTTATGTCAGTACTACGCACTGATTTAAGACCTTTCTTTTTATGTATTATTGGGTATTTACTGCTCTACATACAGCTCTAAATAGTGATCTAGTGGTATTCCACAAAATTTGACATGTTGTGTTTTTATATTTAGTTCAAATTACCTTAGATATTTAGATTTAATTTCATCTTTGACCTATATTTAAAAGTTTATTTAAATTCCAAATATTTAGAGCTCTTTTAGTTATCTTTCTCTTCTTGATTTCTAATTATTGCATCACTTGAATCCTTTTATGTTTATGTAGTCTTGTTTTATGTCCAAGAAGATGTTCTATCTTGATAAATATTATGAAGGCATTTGAAAATAATGGGAAAATAATCTGTATTCTACTGTTGTATTCTGTTGTTAGGTGGTATGATTTTTAAGTATCAATAGACATGTTTGTTGTTTTTAGAGTAATGATTGAATTTTCTATAGTCTTACTGATTTTCTGTCTACCTGTTTTATCAGTTCTGTGTACCTGTTTTATCAGAGGAGAGTGTTGAAATCACTGACAATGATTTTGATGTGTTTTTTTCTCCTTTTAATTTCAAAAGTTTTTCTTTATATTGTTAACATTATGCCATTAGGTATATCAATGTTTAGAATTTTTATGCCCTTTTGATGAATGAGCCATTTTATGTTCATGAAATGACACTCTCTATCCCTGGTAACATTTTTTTGACTATTAAATTAAGTTTCTGACATTCATTAAAAAAACTCTTCAGACTTACTTTTGATTAGTTTAACATGGTACATATTTTATATCCTTTTGCTATTTTAAACTTTTTATTCTGAGAAAATTGTAATATTTGTGTTAAATTGTAGAAAATAATAGAGATTACATATATCCTTCAATTGATATCTCCTAATTGCAACACTGTGCCAGGATATAGTCATTGATATAGTCAAGATACAGAACATCTCCATCAAAACTAGGATCTCTCACGTTACCCTTTATAACCACATCCTATTTCTTACTATTCCACACCATTCTTAAATCCCAGAAACCACTAATCTGTTCTCCATCATTATAAATTTGTTATTTCATGAACGTTATGTAAACAAAATCAGGCAGTAGTAACCCTATGGAATTGATCTTTGTAACTCAATGCAATTCACCAGGGATTTTATCCAGGTTGCTGTATTACTACTTTGTTTCTTTGTATTGCCGAATAGTATTTCATGGTATGGATGTGTCACAATTTTTTTACAATTAACCAGTTGAAGAGCATCTGGGTTGTCTCCAGTTTTTGTCTATTACTAATAAAGCTGTTATCAACATTCATGTACAGATTTTCATTTCTCTGGGATAAATTACCAGGAGTGCAATTGCTGGGTTTTACACCAATTACGTGTTTTGTTTTTAAGAAACTGCCAAGTTGTTTTTGAGAATAGCTGTATCATTTTACATTCCTGTAAATAACTACTGGAGTTGAACCTCTTCTCATGTACTTATGTCTTATCTCTGTATCCTTCAGTGGTGATATTTCTCTTTACCAAATCTGTATTTTACTAGGATGTGATTTGGGGAAATTACTTAGCAGAATATTTCAGTTTCCATATTTATATGATAGAAATGCTATTAGTAATTGCCTCATAGTATTGGTATGAAGGTTAAATAATTTGATATGTGCTTTGTGCTTAGGCCGAAACATTGGTTATCATATTGTATTATTATTGTTACCATTATTTAATTTAGTCATGTACCCTGTCTACCTCATAGGATACTCCTTGATAGTTGGGATTTTTATGTCTACTGTTTTATCCTAATGCCTTAATTAGAATGTGGTACATAACAGATAGTTAATAAATATTACTAAAATGAAAGGTGACTCACATATTAGAAAGTAACAAGTGAATATTTAAGTTTCCACCAGTCAAAATTGATAAGCCCTTTCAAAACCTAGTCACCACTTAAACTTTTGTATTTTAGACAAATTCCTCCTTATTAAGTAGACCGATCCTACAAAATAGGCTTCTGCTATATTCATCTTCTTTATCTTTAAAACTTTAACTCCATTGCTGTTGCTTTCTAGGGTTACTTTTAAACTTTGCTTTGTATTTCTAAGTACATAGGAAAACGTAAAAAGCAGTTCTATCCAGGAGCCATGTATTAAAGGTTTCCTTCTTTTAATACAATAAAGCAAGACAAGCTTAACTAAATCATTACCATCAATATGTCAGTTGCCTAACTCTCAGTCTATTTCTAGGAAACAATTCTTACTCATTACGCGCTTGTGAATTATTACCAAAACTTCTGTGGAGGAGTATAACTTCAGGTACACCAATGGTCAGTAATAAGTTGCAAGGCTTTATATAATACATTTTACTATTCAGTCTAAGTAGATAAAAGAAACATTAAATTGCTTTTTAATTCATGAAAATCTCTACTGATACATTAATTCAAATAAAATAAAATTTCCTCAAAATAGAAAGTGAATTGATTTTAATAAGAAACACTTTTCTGTAATGATCCCTGCAATTTATGATTGAATAAAATTAGATATGAATTTGGTACAAAAGTTTCTCATAAAATAGTGTAAAGTTGTACTTATAAAAAACAAATGATCCACTTAAGAACTTACACCCTAGCGCTACCTTCCCTTCTAAGTATTTGAGATTTTACTTCTTGAGTTGTTCAGAAAGGGCATCAGGATAAAAAATAATATCTGTGAGTTAATTAATTCTATACATTTATTTGCTGGACACTAGTAAAGTATGACAAGAGGATTATGGCAAATGGTAAGCTGACCAATTGAACTCAAGTATACACATTTCCCTCTTTCCCTATTATTCTTAATTTTTAAATTAGGTTCTCTTCTGTCTTTTTATTTCATTTATTAATAACTTACCTCAAAACTGCAGTTGGCCTTGGAGTGGAACAGGTTTTTGTAGCAGCATTGTCCTCTAAGCAAATCACACTATTCACTTTGCTCTCCTAATTAATTCAAGACAAAATATAAATACATAGTATTAAAGCAAAAGAAGCGATAATCCCCATCTACGTATTTACATATTTTCTTATTCACACTCCCCCTTTCATTTTATTTGTCACTAAAATCATGCTAATTTAATAAGAAAAAGCTGGCAATGTAGTATTCAAATATGCACCATTGCAAAAAAGATTGTAACTATATTTTATATGCATGGTCTATGTTCAAGTTATTTTTACATTGGATATGAAATATTAATAACAATTACATTGACATGTTTTGTGGCAATTAGCCTGTCTTTCTTGTCTTAACAACTATTGAAGTAATCTTCCTCCCTATAAATTATTGGTAATGTGCAACCGAATGCATGCTTTACTATGTGATTTTTAAAAATTCTTTAAATAGATTTTCATAAAACAGATGCTGGAAATAAATGCAGGCAGAAACACATTTTTAAATAAATTTATTGCTTCACTAAATTAAACATCAATAAGGCTACTGAAGTAAAGCTAATATCAGGCTATGCTATATTGGATTGGCATTTCTAGATTTTTCTAAGCACAATAATTAATCTTAGAAATATCCTCAGCTGTCTAGCGTGGGTAACTACCAACACAGTCTTTTCCTGCAAAGTATTTGATTTTCATAAAATTTTATTTCCATTACCAATGAAAAGTTGTGATAAAAATACTGAAACGCAAGTAATACCTAACAGGCTAAATGAAACTAGTATTGTAGTAGTTGTTTAGGAATATGAGTCATATTTATTTATATTAATTTTATAAATAAGGATATATAATATGTTACATAATATATAATAAAATATATTATAAAGTACAACAAAAGTATATATTATATATTAATATAACATAAAACATATAATATATCATATGCTAATATAAAATATATATTTATATTTATATAAAATATAATATATAAAATCATATACTATTTTATAATATAAAATAATTATATAATATATAATATAAATATAATTATATGTAATATATATTATATATCCTGATATATATAATACCTCATAGTTCTGTAGAAAATGATAAAATGAGCTTATGCATGAATCTGTTGCTCTATAATTGAAAGCAATCTGAAACAAAATATAAAATATTTACGTTGTACATTTAACATATGCTTTTAATATATCCATTCTGCTCAAGTATGTTCAATGCACACTTACTTGTAATGTATGTTTCAGTTTCAGTGTAAATTATTACTGAATTCGAAACGTCAAATGTTGCAATTTTTTTTGTAACTATTAAGGTAACAATGCAATGATACTGGGAACAAACATTGTAGAGTAAGCATGATAGATACTATGAATTTGACATATTTTTTTCAAACTGAGCTGAATGTTACAATGTAGACTGGAATGTTCTAAAGTCTATTTGCTTTAAAATAATCTATTTTTTTGCATGACTGCCTCCTGAATCCCCATGGCATGTGGTTTAGAATTTCCAAGGTTTACAGTAATTAAATTTATATAAGTGAGTCTAATGTTGCTGAGGCACAAAGTTATCAAAAGTTACAGAAGTTTGGAAGTTATCCCAAAGTGGGACTAATGGAAACATCATGATAAAATATGTAGAAAACATCATAAATAAGTTAGAAAAGTAATTAATTCACCCACCAAATAAAATTCATGATACAATTAAACAAACTGAATTATAACATAACATGTTTTAAATTACATATAGAAAACATGTCACTGGCTCATGATAGATTTGTGTTTCTGAAAGAATAGAAGAAAAAATCAAGAAAAATATTCCCCAAATTCAAACATTATTTTTTCCTCACACATTTTCTTCATAACATCCTCACTCTTTGGGGGAAACATGAGAGAAAACACTGGATTTAGAAGATAAGGAGTCTGATCTGATTCTAGATTTCACTCTCAAAACTAATGTGTTTTTCCATCTCTAAAGGAGTACTTGAACTTGCTACCCTAGTTTAATGCTTTAAAAATGATTATTATTAGGTATACAGTTTATTTTTACAATATAAAACTGAACGATTTTTATTCAAATACTTGTCTAGGCAGTTGAGTCATTATTTTTGTTTTGAGGTTCAGCAGTGTCTTAGTATAACAAATAACATTTGACTGGCATGTTTAGTCATTTTTATAAAAAACCATTTCTGATGAGCACTTTAATATTTTCTAATCAAAATCACATATTTAGCTCAGTAATTCTTGTTAGTTTTCTGACATCCAGCCGTCATTTCTTACATTTCATAAAAGGTTCATTGACAGAATAAGAGAACATCTTTGCTGTAGCTTCCTATGTTTTTGTATCTCCAAATATCATCCTGTGTAAAATAACCAGGCTATTTTAATCTTGACTCACTACCACTTTCTAGCAAATCATTCAGATCATTTCATGGGAAACATACCTTTACTGAGAAACTGAATACTGCCTTTCATAGTTATTTGCTACTGAAAATATGAATGAGCTATGTGGTCTGGAACAAATCATTACCTTTCAATAACTCAGTTTCCTCTACTGTAAAATTAAAAATGATGCATAATTTATAACTCATAGGATCAAACACAACCATGTTAGGCACACAGTAAATGTGCTATAAGTGTTTGCTCTCAGTATTCCTACCCATCTATGGCATTTCAGGATTCTATTCTACTAATGCTCTATTTAAACAACTGTACTTAATAGGTATGTGGTACCTTCTAAAATGCTAGAAACATATTGGTATTTTTTATTTCCTTATGCTGTCCTAAATATTGCCTCAGACAATACAATAATAGTCTGTTAGTCTAGACATCAGTGCAGTAGCAGTCTTTATTTCTAAATTGAATTACTTTTTATTATTCCATATGGAAGCAGGACAGTTATTCCTCCCATGGAGAATATGTATAGAAGAACAGGAAAAGCACTTCTAGAAGAATCAGTAAGTGGAATTACAATTCCCAACTTGTTTTGTAACTTTGGTTAAACCATTTATTTCTTTCTGCATCACTATTTCTTCATCTGTAAAATAGGCCCAGTATGTCTTTACTTATGTCACAGGGTTGCTGTGAGGATAAAACCAAGTATATTTGAAAAATTTCTTTGAAAAACAGAAAACACTGTAAAATACTAAGCAGCATTAGTATTAGGAATTTGATAGCAGGTGTTTTATTGTGTCTAGAGAACAGGGGAATTATATTACTAAGTATTAGCCTTTGGCCTCATAGAACTTTAAAACATCTTAATTTATGAAATAAATGTCAAGGCAGATTCATTTTTATGATGGTTAAATGTTATGGCTCTTTATCAATTTTTTTAAGCCAAATCTCATTTTTAAAAGGCTATTTATCATGAATTTGACATCTTGTATTGATGAGAGTGTATCAGCTTCTTGGAAGGCCTGCATCTATCAAGAGTTAATATGACATCTTAAGCTGTGTAAGGACATCTTGACTCATGGTATTTTTTATTGAACAAAAGGGCATAATATATCCATATAAAAATGTTCTTTTCTCAGACGTCAAGAACAAAGACAAAATACATACATCACTCAAACAACACCAAACAACTAACAAAAATAAATCTACTTTGAGAGAGATATTAGTCTTTAAGAACCATCTTTTTCAAAAACCACACTTGGGGCTCTTTAGCTTACATTTAATCTCCTTAATATACATTCACAATGTCATTTGTTTGTTTATTTACCTTTTCTACTTCCTTAGTGTAATATACTAAAGGACAGTTGAGCTGATATATGTTTTAGGAATTTTGTCTACTCTCCACTGTTTGCAAAATCCTTTTAGAAGTTTGACAATAACATACCTTCCTTTATTGATTTCTTCTCCTCAATTCAGCAATATTGATTTTTTTGTGTGCATTTACAACACTACTCCATTTTGTTTAATTCTTTATGACTCAGCATTGCTGACAAAGAAGCTGAAACATCTAGAACTTAAAAAAATACCTCTGATTGAGTAGTTGTCCTAGAGCTAGAGATAAGAATACAAAGACACAAAAATGGGACGTCTCATGGGGCGCTATAAAATTCATGCAGGTTATCTTTGTTTTAAAGATTAGAAATTGAAAATAGATTATTAACACTGATGTGGGATCTTGGAAATTAGCAATATTTATAAAACCTTTTAGATCATGTTTCACAGGAGTTTTCATTCATTGCCTGTAAAACTTCCTTTACCTTAAAATATTGGCAAAGAAATAGTCAGTGGTAACCGAGAAAGCAATATTCTGTAGTGTACAATACTGCCTCCATTCTAAGCACTCTAATTGGATAAAGGGTGGTAACCTACTACAAAGAATATCATCTATGGATAGCCCACTGACCTGTAACTAATGGGACATAACAACAACAACAACAAAAGAGTGAGACAAATCAGTTTTCTCTCCCAGAAATTTAAAATAGAAAATTAATTGAGGGAGATTAAAGAGATATTGAAAAACTAGAGAATTTATCATCACCAAACAGAGGTATTGAGACAAGAGAATAAGCAAATAGAGAAAGTGATTTGCTATGGGAAAGATGAAAGTATACATACAAATATTAGTTTCTTTATACTAATAAAGAACAGTAAAATTAAAATTCATCTTTCAGGCGCTAAAGTTCATACAGTAGCCTTAAACCAGAATGTTCCTAAAACTCCAAACTTTGCCTTGAGGTATCTCCAGGTTCTTCCTCTGAATGAGTTCACTTATTAGTGAAAGTGATATTTTCATGAGCATTTCATAGAAGTATGCATAAATCCAATGGGTATAGAGAAAGAAAGAGAGGAGTGGTAAACCCTAAGCAAGGAAGTCTAGAAAGACATAAGCAGAAATAATACATATTAGTTGAAGGACGAAAAGAGATGAAATCCACTGGGTGCTGAAGTGTAAGCAGATGAGAATTTAATAACGAGTTCTCCAAACTTAAAAATTGACATTTGGCAAAATGAAATCTATTGATTTATTTCCTATATTATAGCCCAGAGTAGAAATCAGGAAAAATACAAATAGGTAGATAGAACGTGTGTGCCAAAGGTCATAGAAAAGTTTATTTAAAAGTTGAAGAAATAAATAAACTTAATAAATGAGGTAGGAAGTATTTATTGAAAATTGCATAAAACACTGCATTTTAAAATGTAACATGATTTCATTTCAAATATGATTTTAACAAAGATATGGAATTGTAAATTTATTGACAATTATTAGGAAGTGGCTTCTTGTTTTATATTGTTTGATGATATTATTCTTTCTAGTTTTAACTTCAGTGCTTTTTACAGCCTGGATTCACGATTTTTTCATACTGCTTGTCCGTTAAAAATAAAATTTAAAATTTTTTGTTCTTTTAAATATTAATGCCACTTATTTGAAACCTTCAACAAGCTTTCCTTAGAATTCAGTTGTTCTTATAAATGTCTTGTAAGTGGTGTATGGATATAACGAATACATCTATTTACTGATAACCTATTGACCTCTTTCTCCTATGCTTTCTCAACTGAACCATAGTCACTAGACATTTCTCAAGTTTCCCTTCTGATTTTTAATTCTGGGAAATAACAACCACCCATATTATTTCATAAATACATTTTGGGGATTTTTAAGGCAGTAAATTACTACATTTAAATATTTATTTTTGAATAGCATTAGTAATTACATTATATAAATATTAAACTGCCCTGGAAAAAATTATTAATATTTTCTCTCTATTACTCCAAGTCATATGTATATCTGTAAGTATGGATATATATTCCTTTAAAAAAGCAAATTACTATTTTCATTAAAATGTATACTTGAACATTGCTAAGAGAGTAGATTTTAAGTATTCTCAACACAAAAATTGTTAAGTATGTGTGGTCTTGAATTTATTAAATAGCTTAATTTAGCCATTCCACACTGTGTGCACATATGGAAACATCATGTTCTATACCATAAACCTACACAATTTTTACTTGTCAATTAAAACAATAAAAATTTTAAAAGTGGCTCATATAATTAATGTTTAAATTCTGATTTTTTTTTGATTAAAGTATTTCTTATATACCTTTCCATGTAGGTAAATATGGCTCTATGTCATTTATTTAGGAAATATTTAAAAATTAATCTATTGAGATACATACAAACACATATATATTGTACATAATATAGAATGTTAGACTCCTCCTGCTTCCATTGATATGATGGTATCTAAATAAGTGTGAAGCACACCTGAATTTCAGTAGTAATTAGATAAATATGTTCCATGATTTTTAAAAGCCTGCTCCACTTGGAAGATAAAATGGTGAAGAGAACAGGAGAGAAGAGGTTGCTAGAGAGACTTACTTAAGGAGATGTATTAGTCCCTTCTCAGGTTGCTATAAAGAAATGCCTGAGAGTGGGTAATTTTTAAAGAAAAGGGGTTTAAGTGGCTCATGGCTTTGCAGGCTGTTCAGGAAGCATAAGCTTCTGCTTCTGAGGAGGCCTGAGGATGCTTCCCATCATGGCAGAAAGAGAAGGAGAAGCAGGCACATCTTACCTGGCCACCAGAGCAGAAGGAAGAGAGAGCTAGGTTAGAGGTGTTGCATACTTCTAAACAACCATATATTGCAAGAACTCTTTCACTAGAGCAGCACCAAAGGGGGAAATCTGCCCCCATGATCCAATCAGCTCCCACCAGGCACCACCTCCAACACTGAGGATTATAATTCTACATAAGATTTGGGCAAGGCACAGATCCAAACTGTATCTGGAGAATTGCTACTCTGCTGTCTCACTGAATTTTCTTCCTATGGGCACAGCAGGATGCTACCTTCTAACCAGGCGGTCTTAACTTGTGGGCAGTTTTACTGTCCACAAGATATTTGGCAATGTTTGGAGACATTTTCAGTTTTCACAATTAAGAAAGTGCTCATGGAATCTAGTAAGTAAAAACTAAGGGTACTGCTAACCATCCTACAACATATAGGACAGTCCGTGACAACAAATAATTTTCCAGCTAAAATATCAATAATGCTGTGGTTAAGAAGCCCCAAGCCCCTTGAGACCATTAGAAAGCTGTGAAATACAGTCCACATAGCTGGAAAACACAGAGGACTGGTGCCAGATCCATTCCCAAGAGAGCTAAAATAGACAGTGAACCGTGAACAGAGAAGAGGTGACTATTTGCTGTAATGTTTCTGTTTGGTACTCTGACATTTTGTTGAATCAAGAGATGTGTGATTTTCTTTACTGGAACCAGACATGAACTATAGAGGAGTGAAGGGGCCATTTTGAGTGTCCAGTAAAACTAGCAAAAAGACAAGAAACTCTTAGATAAAAAAATTAGAGGTTGGAGATGTGTTATCGGATGCCCAGGATCTAAGGAAGTAGCTCAGTGCATCATTTGTAATAATTTGCTTGGTCAAGGGAACATCCAAATACCTGTGAAAGCTCCTTGGGAGAGAACCAGCCTGCTAGCAGCTGGAAAAGGGAGAGAGGAAATCAGGAGAAGGAGGCATCCTCTATCTCTCCCTTTCCCACTACAAAATTCCAGTTCAAATCATGCTTGAGCTGGTGCTGCACATTCTAATTACTGGATTGACACTGTATCCTCAGTCACAATATTTGAGTAAAGCTGAGTATTTACCATGCATCATTATATATGTAACCAATTCCCTGTATGCTGTTGATGGATATTTAAGTAGTTTCCAGTTTCTTCTTACGGTAACAAAAATGGGGTAATGAATTATTTTCTTCTATTGATGGACATATAATTAGCTTCCAGTGTCTTACTGTAAAAAAAAAAATGGTGTAATGAATATAAATCTATTTTCTTACTTTCTCCCTCGCCCTCTCCGTATCTCCCTCTCTTTCTTTCCTTCCTTTCCTTTTCTTTCTTCCTTCTTCTTCCCTCCTTCCTTCCTTATTCTTTTCTTCTTTCTTTCTCTTTCTTTCTTTCTTTCTTTCTTCTTTCTTTCTTTCTTTCTTTCTTTTTCTTTCTTTCTTTGTCTCTCTCTCTCTCTTTCCTTTCCTCTCTCTCTCTCTCCTCTCATTCAGAAATTAAAAAAACATGATTTAGAGTAAGTGAAGAAGCATTAAAGGTATTGAACTACCTTATTCAAGAATTAGTATTTTCTTAACAATTTCATTTCACGTCAGAAATCATGGAAGTAAAACTTTCTCCTGTTTTATTTGATTCATTTTTGTGGGATCATATTAAGGGAGTGGGCATTTTTATATTCATATTTTACCCACGCAGTTTTAACAAGGACTGTAACAAATAAATACAGATCAAACTTAGTCAAAAGCTATTTTGTACTGGGTTGCACAGCACTAATAGTACATTCATGGTTCTAATATTGAAAACAATCCTATTAGGATGGTACTATTATCCCAATTTTACAAAGGAAATAATTTAGGAACAGAGGAATTAATAGGCTTGCTTTCCCAAGGTTTCATTGCTACTATGTTATGATGTCAGTATGTCAAGGCAGGTGAATCTTGCTCTATACTGACTCCCTATATTGAATTATTCTATTTCCTTTAATGGATTCTGAAATAAACTCATTTCAATACAGCTCATTTCCCTAATAATAATTATATTTAAATAGTGCTTTCTCGTATATGACAACCCTATGAAATAGGTAAAGGCTATTATTCTTACTTTATACATATAAAATTGAGGCAGTGGCAATTAAATAATTCATTCAAGATTACAAAGCCAATAAATAGTTTTTTTTAAGAAAAATATTTGAACCTAAGCAGTGTGGCTTAGTGCTTTTAAGTATTGTGTTCTACTGCTCCTTTATAGAAGAATGTTTAAAATTTAGATATAATGACTTGTTTAGTACAATCTTTCAATGTCCTTCTTATATTTCTAAATGTATTTTCTTAAATAATTTTTTAAGAAGAGTCTATCTACTCCAGCTAAATCGATTTCCTTTTCTTATGACATCAGCTCATAATTGTAATAATAAACCCAACTGTGGCTGAAATCACAGATGGCTCATACAGGTGAAAATGAGCTCAGGTGACAAGGAAGATGTAGCTGATTATATCCTAAGGAACAATAATTCTGTTTTTTCAGCAGACTCAGTTAGTGATTGAATTTTTTTGAAGAAAAGTAATTAGAAATAACAGCTGGATGAGCAGAAACATTTTCAACCAGGTGGTCAACAAAATTAAAATATTGAAAAGTAAATGAATAATGAAAAATTTTTTTAGATTGAACAAGGGACTTTTTAAAAAGAGATTAATGGAGTCTTTATACAAATAGCAGTTTAATTTTGCAGGAAACTCAATAATTAATCTGACAAATCAGTGAGAAGGTATTCTGGGGACATGGTAGCCCAAACATATGTGTAATGCCTTCTACTATTTTTATTCCAGTTCCGCTTCTGAGTGGAACATTAAGTGGGCAGTTTGGAAGACAAGTTCTAGAGAGTTGTGAATTTTATAAATCACCCTAGGCAAAAAGAATTGGTCACATGTAGTACTTCCCCCTGATTGAGCCTGACCATTACTAGGAGACCAATTTTAATGAAAGACAAACTTCTTTGTAGACAGCTTTTACTTCAAGACTCAAGTACAAAGAAGAGGAAAGGTAAAAGGTATTGAATCTCTCTGGCTTGAGAAGAGCGTTGATGAAGGTGCACAGGTGAACTGAATATTTGCCTATTCCTGAGATCCAATAACGTAAACTGCTGCCATGAAGAACTCAGACCAGAAACTTCTTCTTCTTGTTTTATTTGAGAAGAGACGCGTTGGTAATTGTGTACAAGTAACTTTTAAGAACTAGAAGCCATTGTATCTACCACAATTTGTGGAATATCTACTTGAAAGACCTTAACAGCCTTACCTGAAATCTATGCGATATAGAGTCACAGGCTGGCCAAGGAATTTAAAAATGCTCTTAGGAGAATAGAGAAATTAGTGTATAAAAATATGCATATTATTTAGAAACAGCAAGCTTCTAGAGAAATCAAGCTATCAGAGAAGATGGATCTCACATAAGATAAAACTTACCAAAGGAAGAAGGAAAAATACTTCAGCGTGAATCATATTTTCTGAAATTAAAATCTACGATTTCAGTGTTTAAAATTCCAGCTCTTCTTACCAGCAGTTTGGTAGACTATATGTCCAGAAAAACATTCTTGAAAGAGGACAACTAAAAATGCTGTGTTAACCGCTTTAAAAACATTATTTCAAATCAGGGCAGAGTTGAAAGTTCATAAAGCCTTAAGAATCCAGAAATAGTAACCAACTATAGAAATGATCCCTGAAATAAAGACTTAAACGTAAGACCTAAAACCATAAAATCCTAGAAGAAAACCTGGGCAATACCATTCAGGACATAGGCATGGGCAAAGACTTCATGATTAAAACACCAAAAGCAATGGGAACAAAAGCCAAAACTGACAAATGGGATCTAATTAAACTAAAGAGCTTCTGCATAGCAACAGAAACTATCATCAGAGTGATCAGGCAACCTACAGAATGACAGAAAATTTTTACAATCTATCTATCTGATAAAGGGTTAATATCTAGAATCGACAAAGAACTTAAACAAATTTACAAGAAAAAACAACTGCATCAAAAAGTGGGCGAAGGATAGGAACAGACACTTCTCAAAAGAAGACATTTATGTGGCCAAAAACATATGATAAAAAGCTCATCATCACTGGTCATTAGAGAAATACAAATCAAAATAACAATGAGATACCATCACAAGCCAGTTAGAATGGCGATCATTAAAAAGTTAGGAAACAACAGATGTTGGAGAGGATAAGGAGAAGTAGGAACACTTTTACACTGCTGGTGGAGGTGTAAGTTATTTTAACCATTGTGGAAGACAGTGTGGCAATTCCTCAAGGATCTAGAACCAGAAATACCATTTGACCCAGGAATCCCATTACTGAGCATATACCCAAAGGATTATAAATCATTCTACTATAAAGACACATGCACACGTATGTTTATTGCAGCACTGTTCACAATAGCAAAGACTTGGAACCAACCCAAATGCCCATCTATAATAGATTAGATAAAGAAAATATGGCACATATACATCATGAAATACTATGCAGCCACAAAAAAGGATGAGTTTATGTCTTTTGCAGGGACATGGATGAAGCTAGAAACCATCACTCTAAACAAACTAACACAAGAACAGAAAACCAAACACCGCATTTTCTCACTCCTAAGTGGGAGTTGTACAATGAGAACACATGGACACAGGGAGGGGAACATCACACACTGGGGCCTGTCAGGGGTAGGGGGTTAGGGGAGGGGTAGCATTAGGAGAAATACCCAATGTAGATGATGGGCTGATGGGTACGGTGAACCACCATGGCACATGTATACCTATGTAACAAACCTGCACATTCTGCACAGGTAATAATAATAATAAATATTAATAATAATAAAGGCATTTAAAATAGCTCAAGAAAAAAAGAATCCAGAAACATTTCTTTTATAAAAAGCACAAATCCATCACCACAAAGCTAACTTTTGCTTTACAGGTATGTTAAATCCAGATAGAAAGTATACAATGATTATTCAATTGTTTTTTAAAAATAAACAAGCATTAAAATTCTGTTAAAATCCTGTAAAAAAGTCTTGAAACAGAACAAAACACCCCTTCTGGAAATGAAAAATAAAGTAAGAACAATTATAAACTTCATAGACAGGATAAATGTCAGATAAAACATGCTTGAAGATAAAATTATTTAATTGTAAAATAAATCTGAAGATATTATTCCAGAGGGATAAAAAAGGAAAAGCATGAAGTTGACATAAGGAAGATAGAGTAACCTTTAAAACAAAACAGTATCTATGAAAAGGAAGTTCTAGAGAGCCATACAGTAAAATGGGGGAAGGCAGTATCTGAAGATATTTTGTCTGATAACTAACTAGAATTAATGAAACACACAATCCTTAAATGCATTAAAAAAAAACATTCATGGTGAACTTAAAAAAAATGCTTAACGGCCGGGCGCGGTGGCTCACGCCTGTAATCCCAGCACTTTGGGAGGCCGAGGCGGGTGGATCATGAGGTCAGGAGATCGAGACCATCCTGGCTAACAAGGTGAAACCCCGTCTCTACTAAAAATACAAAAAATTAGCCGGGCGCGGTGGCGGGCGCCTGTAGTCCCAGCTACTCGGGAGGCTGAGGCAGGAGAATGGCGTGAACCCGGGAGGCGGAGCTTGCAGTGAGCCGAGATTGCGCCACTGCAGTCCGCAGTCTGGCCTGGGCGACAGAGCGAGACTCCGTCTCAAAAAAAATAATAATAATAATAATAATAATAATGCTTAACACATCATAATACAAATATAGAATAACAACAAGACAAAATAAAGCAAAATATTTACAATAAAATAATAGTAACAAGTCTATCAAAATATGTGGTAGACCTTTGCGGGGAAGTATTTTAAAGCATTATTAAAATATATTAAAGAAGTTTTAATTATATGTTTTCACTTATAAGCAGAAGCTGAGCTATGAAGACACAAAGACATAAGAATGACACAATGGACTTTGGGGACTCGTGGGAAAGGGTAGGAGGGGTTGAGGGATAAAAGACACATTGAGTACAGTGTGCACCCCTTGGGTAATGGGTGCACCAAAATCTCAGAAATCACTACTAAAGAACTTATCCATGTATCCAAACGCATCTGTTCCTCCGAAACTGACTGAAATTTGAAACAAGATATTAAAGAAGTTTTAAGTAAGTAGAAAAATAAAAAAGATACATGTCTTATCACAATTATTCCTCTGTATCTGTAGGTTCTACGTCCATGAATTCAACCAACTGCAAATAGAAAACATTTGAAAAAATAAAAATAAAAAACACCAACAAGGAAAAATAATACAATTTAAAAAACCAATACAGTGTAACAACTATTTACCTGGCACTTACATTGTGGTAGGTATTATAAAGATAAACTAGAGATTACTTAAAGTATATGGGGAAATTGCTGTAGGTTATATGCAAGTAGTACACCACTTTATACAGGAGACTTGAGCATCGGAGGATTTAGGATTTCAGTATCCATAGGTGGGGGAGTGTTGTGGTGGGTAGATGAAACCATTCCCCTGTGGATACCAAAAGCCTGTATATTAAAAGGCCAATTTTCCTAAAATTGATGTATATTTCATACAATTCCTACAAATATCCAAACTGGGTTATGTGGAATTAACAAACTAATACTAAAACTTATATGGAAAAGAAAAGTCCGGATCAGTCCACATCATCATTAAGAATAGGTGTAGGGATTTGTTCTACCAGATACCACAGTTGGATAGAAGCCAAGTAATAGTTATTGTATGATAATGGGGTAGGTCCTGGAGTAGGCAAATAGAACAAAAGATAAAGTCCAAAAATAGATGTATGCACATATGGACATTTGATATAAGACTGATGTTTCCCAGTATGTCAGTGGGAACTGACATATTTTTCAATAAACTGTCATGGGATTTTGCTTATTCCTATGGAATGAAAATAAAATTGTATTCCTAAATGATATCATGCCAAAAATCAAATTTCATGCTATCAAAAACCAACCAGCCCTTGCCAATGGGAATGTGGAGAAAGGATATTCACATACAGTGCTTCAAGAATGTGAAATACTAAAGTTTTTAATAAAAATATTCTGACAGTTATCTATTTAAAAAATCCACATATCTTTCAACCCGCAGTCTCACTCCTGGGGTTTCATTCCACCAAAAGAAAAGCACCTAATAGTACCTAAGAATATCTATAAAAGCTGCTTATTGCAGTGCTTTCATGAGTGAAAAAAAATGGGTGTAAATATTGGAATTTTAGAATAATTTGTATTACCACAGAATTCCATTTAGCTAGCCATTATGAAGAGTTAGTTAAAACTATTTTGGTTGACTCACAGGGATTCCAGTTATATTTGTTGAAGGAGAAAATTTTTTTAAAACTAAGTATAAAACCTTGTGATCTCACTCATGTAAAAAACAATAAGACTTCTGAAACTGTAAAAGTACATATGAAATTTGATATAAAAAATTTAAAGTGTAGAAAGATAGCACAAAGCCCCTAAATACTGGCCATTGAAAATGAGAAATGTGGAAATAGAAAAGCAGAAGAGAAATAAAGAGGTAAGTTTAAAGAGTGAAGAGAAAGCTATTTTTAAAATTGTGCTCACTTTTGTAATTATTACCACATATGTAGAAATGTTTTATAAGTGAATATATCTATGCACAGATAGTGTTATATCAGAGGTCACTGAAATATTTTGACTAGTTGTCCCTCGGTGGAAAATTTCAAGTGATTGTCCTAATACTATTTTATATAATTTCTTTTTTTATGTTTAGTATACATTAATATAATCAGGAAAAAGGTAGTTTCATGGTATGTAGGGGAATGTGAATTATGCTATTAATTGAATATATGATACCAGAAGATCAAAAGTGTAAGAAGTTTGAAATATTTAATTATATGCATTAAAAAGGTCTTGGGTCCAGATTCTAATCGTCATGCAATTAGCAAATGAAAGAGCAAATCATTTCTGGAATAAGGTCCCAATAGGAGATGGTAAATCATGCTTCTAACATCCAAAAAGTCTAGATTTTATGAAAGTAAATTGGTTTTATTTGGATGATTTTCCAGAAGTAAATGTTACTGCTCTAAAATAATAAAAAAAGTGAAAAGAGGGTTGAGTTAGAGACAACTTAGTGGAAAACTAAGTTTAGATGTTTCTGAAAGTTAGAAAATTTCTTTTACTTATATAAAGAATTATATATCTCAATTAATCCTTTGAAAAATAGTAAGCATTCAGCTATTGAAATAAATTACAATCCATTTATTTTGTCTGATATTCTAAAGGCCTAATTTAATTTCAAGACTATGGTCTTGTGGGAGTAATACTTAGGAAAACTCCACATTTCAAAGCACTCTTACATCAAACCTTCTTTCCCTTCCAACTTAAAAAAAATAATCCCCACTGTATTGTAAATCAGTTTTTTTTCAAGAAGCTTGATAAGCCTATCAGCATATTAAGCAAATATTACTGAGACTTTCTCAAAGGAAAATTTTATGTTGTCCCTTCTTCATTGGGAAAATTTTTCATGATTGATTTAGGAACCTATTGTCATTTTATTGTGTGGTGACTTAATTTTCATGATTTCCATTTTACATCAGCCAATTTAATGCTGAGATAATCATATCTGTACTGACTTTTGCAAATAGATAGTTATCACAGTCTGTTTTTGCAAGCATCTACTCTGTTGCACTTAAAAATGTATTTTTGCTACATATCCCTGACATCTACATAAAGAATGAAAATAAACTTGCTAATAGTGTTGCATGGTCAACACGGTTCTTGTCACTAAGAGATTCTTCTTTTCGGTATGCAGTTCCTTGCATTGCTGTTCAATACAAGTTGTTCATGCAGGTGCTCTAAACTTATTTCTATCAGAATAGAAAAAAATAACCCTTTCACATTTGTAACCTTGTCTTTGTCCTTTCTTTTCCTATTAATGTATAATGATGGAGAGGATTGGAGAGAAATTTTTCATTATTTTGAAAAAGTTAAACTTTTCTGATTTTCAGTTTTGCTCCAAAAATAGGTAAAGAGGTGTTGTAGCAGCTGTGGCAATTTAGCTCAAGTGGATCATTTATATTGGCAAACATATGTACCATAAGCTATAAAGGCAGCAGCTTGTGAACCCATTAAATGGTGAAATTCTGCTTCAGCATTTGCTAAAACTTTAGAGACAATAATCCTTTGAGCTGAGCATTGAAGGATGAATTGCAACTTCCAGGGTTAGGAGAGGAGGTACAGCATTATGTATTACAGCTATAATGATAATGCTGTGTTATCAAGACAACAACGATCTAGTTTGGTACCATATGAGACAAGTAGAGTGACTGTAGTTAAAAATAGAGTTTATTGTATATTTCAGAAGAGGTAGAAGATTGGAGACATACTCAACACAAAGAAATTATAAATGTTTGAGATGATGAATAACCTAAATACCTTGATTGGATCGTTACAAATTCTATATGTGTACAGAACATCCTGTGTGCTCTATAAAAAAGTAAAATTATTAGGTATCAATGAAAACTAATAAATTAATTAATAATTGTGTGTATATTTGTAATAGAGATAAGTTAAAAGTTGTATTGGAAAAAACTTAAGTCTTGCCAATCATTTCTAAGCTAGAATAAAAAAAAAAACGTTTGGCAGATTTTACCTCTTTAATTGTCTGTGCTAATCTGTGGCCTCACTTATGTTGGGAAAGAGATATCCACTTCCTGTGGAGAGTGTCTTCTTAAAAGTTTGAGTTCTACATTTACAAAGCTAGGTATGAGGAATGAATATGAGTACATTAGCATAGTGTGCCAGGAATCTTCAGAAAATAAAAGATCAAGGCCCCCATCCTTTCAAAGTTAGTCAAACTTCACTGATGGCTTGAGATGGTTCCAGAAAGGGCCATTGCTGATCACAAATGGAAACTTATTACAAAGGAAGAGGTCTGGGCTGGTAACTCCAACATAACACCAGAGTTTGAGTATTAGAAGCAGAATTCTAGTTCTGGGCACACTTTGTGTCTCAGGCAAGAAGCTCTCTCTTACCTCAGATATGCTGGAATAGTGGTCATTTTGAGGGCACAGTGGTTGAGAACAAAGTGTAAGTGGAAAAAGGTCTAAATTTGGGAACCCCAACATGATGCAGCAGTGGCAACTGTGCAGGCATGTTCACATCATAAAAGTGATTAGGAACATATCCTCCTGTATGTGAATAACAAAAGAAGCAGTGAAAAATCAGGGGCTCTTTTGGTATGAAATAATTTCTGTTTTCCTTTCTCTCACTCTTCCTCACATTAAAAGTGTGAATGGCCACTGCTCAGTGGACTGCGTAAGTGAATCCTGAGGATCCATGTACTATGCATAAGGAAAAGGGAGCAGCAATTGACATTAAAGAGGGAAATATTGGATCAATTGCTAATAAATTCATGGAGTATTTGAGTAATTAAGTTTTAAAATAGGAAATAAAATAGTATGTGTGTTCCATACTAATGAAGAGTGTTATATATTCTGTTTTTTTTCCCTAAAGAAATAGCAAGAAAAAAATGGAAAAAAAAATACCCAACAAGATTAAATATTTTAAAGTTTCTTAGAAGATTAAGTTGCACTTATTTAAGAAATTGGTTCATATATAATACAACTTTTTCCCACAATGCCAGATGAATTTAATTTTACAGAACCTCACTGAAATAAAAATTCTGAAGCACTACCAGATTTAAACTCTTTCTTTAGCAAGGCCCATGTGTCACTTTCAGTAGGTGTCAAATTGATCCAGCTTCCTGATATAGCACTAGTACTTAGTCCAGGTTCAATCCATATTGCAAAGTTATAATAATCACTTCATCTTAGATATTTATTTTCATTGCCCTTAAATGTATGGTCTTTCTCCTAATGTCCTATCAAAAATCAGAAACTACGGGGTAAGTGTAATTGGTGCTTTAACCAAATGAATAAGAGACTTACTGGAGCAGAGTTGAAAATATAGATCATGAGTTCTAATATATAAATAAAATCATCCATCTTTTTTTAAAGTAAAAGACAAAAGAAAACATTTCAGAATGCATGGCAAATATGGGGTATCATGCTCCGACTTTTTCCTCTTGAACAAATGACAACCAATGTTAATTGACATTATTTTTTCCTGATGGGTTTCAGATTTATTTTCAAGTCAGTGCTCCAGGCAGCCACACTCTAACAATTAGAATTAAAATTATAGATAAAATAATTCCCTATCCCTAGATTAGGGAGATTAAAGAGTTTTTGCAGAGGTTATTTAACAATGCTTTTCTGATTATAAACATTACGTATTTGTTGCAGCAACACTGGAATATGGAAACCTAAAAAATACGCTAAAAATAAAATGTTATGAAAACATTCAGATTCAAAACCATAAACATTTAGCACTAGCGAACTATTCAAATTAAAATTTTTTTTTCCTTTATTTTTTTGAGACAGAATCTTGCCCTATCCCCCAGGCTGGAGTTCAGTGGCACAATTTCCACTCACTGCAACCTCCACCTCCCAGGTTCAAGTGATTCTCCTGCCTCAGCCTCCCGAGTAGCTGGGATTACAAGCGCGCGCCACCACACCCGGCTAAGTTTTTTAAATGTATGTAAAATACATAAGTGTTTAATAAAACTGAGGCAATACAATTTGACTCTTCTTTATTTTTCTTTTTTAACACTGAAAGAAGTTTTCCAAATATTCCTTACCATATATTACTCATCATCTTTAATGATTACAAACTTTTATATGTCATATGACATGGATACAATACTTCTAAATTCCACTTTATTTCTCTCAGACCTTCATGATGTTTTCAGTTTTTTTCTTAACAACAAACTTTTATAAATAAATGTATGATTTTATTTTAGCAAGATTTGGTGGTGATGGGGAGATAGAATATTATTGCACTTTTGTAAATTTGAACTGGCAAGGATTCTGACAGATGTTTCAGAATGTGTTGATGTAATGACGCAAGCCCAGGGAGATTGAAAACAAAAAAAAAAAAAAGGAAGACAAATCCAGGCTGGCAGGCAGCCTAGTGTGAAATAACTGCATCTGTGACAACTAGGACCAGGCACCTCAGAACTGGCTCACCTTCCCCAAGAAGGGCAATGTGGAAACATATCTCTACATTACATCTAACTCAGGTTTGTCGTGTAGAGACCCAGGTAGACGGCACGAAATCTATGTCAGATCATCAGTCTGTGATAATAATATCATGAAAGTATTTACTCATTTTTATTATGAAAAATGTGCACATTTTCTATAGTAATTGTAAATTCTCTGCATTCTCTCTCCTCTGTCTCTTCTCTCTTCTCTTCTCCTCCTCTTTTTCTCTCTCTCTCTCTCTGTGCCTGTGTATCTCTCTAACTATGTCTCTTCATTTTCTCTCTCTGTCCCATTCTCTGTAATCATTTATATACAAGAAAAAAGAAAGAAGAAGAGTATTTATTTGCTTAGAGCTGGAGACCAGGGAAGATACAATGCAATTGTTAAATATAGATTATAAAGATAAAAACAGAACACAGTGGTAAGTTTCTGAGTGCACAAATGGGAACTGAGATGATTTTATGAGGACTGAACACTCTTCATAAAACTGTTGGTTAAAATACAACTTTATAGAATAAGCATTTCAAATAGATTATCTAATCATTGACATGCCAACTATTAGTGATATTAAATTCACTTGCATATTTCTGATAATTGGTAAAGTGGAGGCTCCTTTCACGTGAATTTTCTAGTGTCTGAATATACAAATATGCAAGGTGGAAGAGTGTGCAGCGGAGACACTCTAGGGAGATGTGTTTTCCAGAATAAAGAATTTTGTGTTTTCATCTTCCTTTGATCAGGACAGTTGTTCATCATTTGAAAGTAGATGTTAGTAAATGCCTTATGGAGTTTAGGACTAAATCTGACCAGAAAGAGAGAGAACTAGTAATCCCTAGATATCCCTTAGCAAAATGATGCTTTCTTGCATTATGCCACAACTAGTAAATGCTGGTTTATTGCATTAGATTTTACGCCACTGAAGCATAGTCATCAACATACAGAAAACGCTAAACACTGCCATTAGCAATTTGATTTTGCTAAAAAGGATAACAAAGTAAGTACATTTTTCTTTGGCCTAAATTCAATATTGTTTTCAAAATAAGAATTTCAAGGCAAAAATCTATACTATATTCATTAAAAATATTATCATGTTTAAAATTTAATCATAGCCTTACAATTATTTCAAAATGTAGAGCAAGGACCCAGGGTGGTACACAAAGCAATTCATTAAGACACAGGAAAAAGTACTAGAAAATTTTTTACATTTATTCTCTAAGTAGTCTATTTTATGTATTATAGCAGGCTTCATGATTATTATAACATACTAGCGCAATAGCACATTTTTATAACGGAAACAAATCTATATTTTTTGGCTATAGAAATATATCTACTTAAAAAGAAGAAAAATAAAACTAATAGAAGTCTGTACACAAGAAGGAAGGTTTGGGGACTAATGATCTAAGGCATATTTTAGTCATTCTGGTGAAAAACTCACCACATCTCAAGACAGCATACTTTATCTTTACATAATTCTTTCAGATTTTTCAGTAGTTTTGATTAAAATATGCCCCCAATAATGCTCCCTCATTGGTTTCACATCTGCTACTTTACATGAATGAAAGCAAACTTATCTCTACTTTTATGTTAGAGCCAGTTATTTGTAATCAGCTATTAAATTTAATTCATTTCAATACATATTTATTGAGTCTCTGTTATGCTACTGAATGCTGCAGATATAATCTTCATTCATAGAAAATGTATAGTGTATTTGTGGACACATACAATTACAAGAATTATTTTGTCGCAGTAGGATAAGATCAAGGAGGACGAGTGCACTAAGAAAAAGTACCTAATTTGCAGAGAGGGTGGTGGTTCATAGAAGCCTCTCCGAAAATAACGACATCTACAAAATAAGCCCCCTCAGTGGGGCCAAGAAAGCAAAGCTGGTGTCCGGAAGGCCCAAAAGTAAGAGAACAAGGCATGTTTTAGGAAGTGTCAGCAACTCAGTAAACCTCAGGCACAGCAGGTAGACAACATTAAGATCTGAGATGGAATTAGATCAAGAAGATCCCTGTTAGTTATGGCAAAAGTTAAGATTTTATATGCAGAGCAATAGTTAACAGTTAAAGGTCTTTAAACCAGGGAATGATATACTTGGTACTTTAAGAAGTTACCTCTAGTTGTACGGTAAAATAAAATGACTGGATGCTCACAGCCCAAAAGTAGATAAGAAGGCATGGTACCCAAAATGTCTACTTAGACTAGGATTGATTTCATAATGGCACTGCCTTCAAGAGCTGTCAACCCTATCTCCAGACATTTACTTGTAAGATCAGCAGCCTCCAGGGACACTTAAGGCAAGGAAGTGAAAATTCTGTGATAAAGCTGAGGATGTGGAAATGTTTACTTATAAGTGTCCCAAAAGACACAATTGAATCACTTGGAGAAATAAAATCAAGAGAAAGGAGTCCAGAATAGTGTGAGGACAAAGTATGAGTGAATCCATGGAGGAAATTGATTATTAAGTGGTCTAATGTTTTGCAAAGTAACCAACTTATTGAAGGATATAAGACATGCTGGAAAAAGTTGGCCCCAAAATCTCTAACCCTTGGCATGTACAGCAGTACAGGCCTTTTTGGAAGGAGACATTGGTGGCCTGAACTGGTCATTTATCTGAGACTGTCTTCTTCTATCCAGCTAGCTGTATGTTAAAAATGGCAGCAATCTCAAGAAGTTAGTGACATCAGACCCCTCTAAAAGTAGTCTTCTGTGTGTGCTTCAGGCCAAAAATCTCTGATTCTTCTAGCTTATCCTTGTAGCAGTTGGTTTCACATCCCTTCAGGAACTTGATTATCTACAGATTCCATTTTGCCTATGACCATAGAGCACTTTATAAGATTTAATTTTTGATTTGTGCCAACGTCGTTCCAGAAAGAATTTAAAATCGCTAAAATAGGAAATATAAAAATATGTTAAGGAAGAAAATAAGACAATAGGAAAAGGGAGTGAATAACAAAATTTAAATCAATAGTGAGTATAAATATGTAAAACACATGCTGTTGGGTCTCAGATAATTGCCAGAATCAGGCTATGACTTTGACTATACTATTTTCTACAACAAGGGGTATGTTTGTGAGAGTGTGCGTGTGTGAATGTGTGTCTTTGTGTACATTTGCATGCAGGCATGCACATGTCTGTGGTCCTGATTTTGTAAAAGAGAACACTCAGGAAGTCATAAAGATCCAGTTTTTTTTTTTGACTCTGTTCAAGAGTTGTATACAGCTTTAATGTCATGGCCTTTTGTGATGAATCTATTTTCACAGAAGGTTTGCTGAATGACAGCCTAAGTGAATGATACATTAAGTTTGTCAAAGATCACAGCAATCCCTCCAAAATCCACTTCCAAGCACCTAAACCTGTGAAGTTGATGGAGATTCCAGGGCCCCTAGCTCTTGAATGTTCTTCTCTGCAGCTAATCATACCAAGCTATATATTTTTAATGACACTCCTGACCCCTCATCCTGGCCAAGTCAATTACTCTAGTTTAGAATACGTCTGACATTCCACATGGAACTGATAATCTCACAGGTGCTCTGATCTGTAGTCGGCATTCCTGGCTGACTTCAATCACAGCTGGCTGGACTGCTGAAGTAAGACACCATTATGAACAGCTCATGTAATTGGGTGAGACTGAGTTAAGCCATAATGAACTAAAGTAAATAAATAAAGGAAGATGATTTTTAAAAAATGAATACATGAAGTAGGGGAAAAGTTCTGCTGCTATAATTTCTCCTCATGACTTATTTCTTGATGGTAAATAAAAAGAGAGATAAATAGACAATTTCAATTACCACATAAAAGAAAGCAATTTTGGGGGGATCTATATTTAAAAGTTTTATGTCATATAATTTCTCAGAGACCATATGTTTTCTCTTATAAACTATAAGAATATATTAAACCAAAGTACCTGACACACCAGGATACATATAAGACAGTTAATAGATGCTTCCTCATTCACATTAGTGTGGACCTTCCTAAAGAATGTACTTCCTAAAGGAATGTACTTTGTATGTATTTCCTTAAAAAACAACTCTACATTTTAAAACAAAAGTAATAGTAGTATTTCTGGTAGATATTATTTGTGGGAAAAATCATTGAACAAGAAGCATTTCACATT
Organism: Homo sapiens; assembly: GCF_000001405.40. Taxonomy (NCBI): domain Eukaryota; kingdom Metazoa; phylum Chordata; class Mammalia; order Primates; family Hominidae; genus Homo; species Homo sapiens. Next base: position 51,739,375 of record NC_000002.12, on the reverse strand, counting down.
TAAATTTTGGAAACAAGCATCATTGTCAGCCACTGGAAAAACATTTTTTTTATTTGCATCTATCTCTTTTTCTCTGCACTCTCCTTCCCTTCCCTACTTCTATACTGTTTCTTATTTTCTACTTATTCCTATCAGCTCAGCCCTTTTTTGCTCTTTCCTCACTGATAGAAGAGAAGTAGGTTTAGCCATTGGCACCTAAGTAGAAATTAGTTAATATGAAACCCTTCTGAGGATAATGACAATTTCAGGTGATGATAATTTCAGATATATGGTTGAGGGAGATCTTTCACAACTAAGAGACATTAGAGAAGGAGAGCATATACTGCATTTTATTACTGACATTAAAACTCATTGAGAGTCACTCTGCTAGATATTTTCTTGTTTTTTCCAAATATTAATTCACTTAAACTTCACAGCAGCCTGATGAAGTATGTCTTATTATTGTCTTCATATTACATATAAAGAAAATATGATTTGCAGAGATTAAATAATTTCTCCCAGCTAGGTTTTAAGTAATTTTTTCCTATCTACACTTGAGTGCTTCTGTCTAGGATTTGACTCACTCTGGCTTCAAAAATGGCAGTTTTCTTTTCCCTGTGCCACACTGCCTATATAAAGAGCACAAAAGAAGACTTGTATATTTAAGATTACAAAATACTTATTTTTTCTAATTATAATTATAATTTATTATAATATTTCAATTCATATAATTTCTGTAGCAGGGTAGTCTTTCTACATATATATGTATATAAAGTTAATTTATACAAAAATTCATTGTAGATGATTTAGAAAATACATGGATGTTTAAAGCAAAGAATTGAGAATTACAACCAACTTCAACTAACTCAGGATTAAGAATCTCACTCAAAACCGCTTAACTACATGGAAACTGAACAACCTGCTCCTGAAAGACTACTGGGTACATAACGAAATGAAGGCAGAAATAAAGATGTTCTTTGAAACCAACGAGAACAAAGATACAACATACCAGAATCTCTGGGACACATTCAAAGCACTGTGTAGAGGGAAATTTATAGCACTAAATGCCCACAACAGAAAGCAGGAAAGATCCAAAATTGACACCCTAACATCACAATTAAAAGAAGTAGAAAAGCAAGAGCAAACACATTCAAAAGCTAGCAGAAGGCAAGAAATAACTAAAATCAGAGCAGAACTGAAGGAAATAGAGACACAAAAAACCCTTCAAAAAATTAACGAATCCAGGAGATGGTTTTTTGAAAGGATCAACAAAACTGATAGACCACTAGCAAGACTAATAAAGAAAAAAAGAGAAGAATCAAATAGACACAATAAAAAAATGATAAAGGGGATATCACCACTGATCCCACAGAAATAAAAACTACCATCAGAGAATACTACAAACACGTATACGCAAATAAACCAGAAAATCTAGAAGAAATGGATAAATTCCTCGACAGATACACTCTCCCAAGACTAAACCAGGAAGAAGTTGAATGACCGATAACAGGCTCTGAAATTGTGGCAATAATCAATAGCTTACCAACGAAACAGAGCGCAGGACCAGATGGATTCACAGCCAAATTCTACCAGAGGAGGTACAAGGAGGAACTGGTACCATTCCTTCTGAAACTATTCCAATCAACAGAAAAAGAGGGAATCCTCCCTAACTCATTTTATGAGGCCAGCATCATCCTGATACCAAAGCCAGGCAGAGACACAACCAAAAAAGAGAATTTTAGACCAATATCCTTGATGAACATTGACGCAAAAATCCTCAGTAAAATACTGGCAAACCGAATCCAGCAGCACATCCAAAAGCTTATCCACCATGATCAAGTGGGCTTCATCTCTGGGATGCAAGGCTGGTTCAGTATATGCAAATCAATAAAGGTAATCCAGCATATAAACAGAACCAAAGACAAAAATCACGTGATTATCTCAATAGATGCAGAAAAGGCCTTTGACAAAATTCAACAATGCTTCATGCTAAAAACTCTCAATAAATTAGGTATTGATGGGACGTATCTCAAAATAATAAGAGCTATCTAGGACAAACCCACAGCCAATATCATACTGAATGGGCAAAAACTGGAAGCATTCCCTTTGAAAACTGGCACAAGACAGGGATGCCCTCTCTCACCACTCCTATTCAACATAGTGTTGGAAGTTCTGGCCAGGGCAATTAGGCATGAGAAGGAAATAAAGGGTATTCAATTAGGAAAAGAGGAAGTCAAATTGTCCCTGTTTGCAGATGACATGATTGTATATCTAGAAAACCCCATTGTCTCAGCCCAAAATCTCCTTAAGCTGATAAGCAACTTCAGCAAAGTCTCAGGATACAAAATCAATGTACAAAAATCACAAGCATTCTTATACACCAACAACAGACAAACAGAGAGCCAAATCATGAGTGAACTCCCATTCACAATTGCTTCAAAGAGAATAAAATACCTAGGAATCCAACTTACAAGGGATGTGAAGCACCTCTTCAAGGAGAACTACAAACCACTGCTCAAGGAAATAAAAGAGGATACAAACAAATGGAAGAACATTCCATGCTCATGGGTAGGAAGAATCAATATCGTGAAAATGGCCATACTGCCCAAGGTAATTTACAGATTCAATGCCATCCCCATCAAGCTACCAATGACTTTCTTCACAGAATTGGAAAAAACTACTTTAAAGTTCATATGGAACCAAAAAAGAGCCCGCAGCGCCAAGTCAATCCTAAGCCAAAAGAACAAAGCTGGAGGCATCACACTACCTGACTTCAAACTATGTTACAAGGCTACAGTAACCAAAACAGCATGGTACTGGTACCAAAACAGAGATATAGATCAATGGAACAGAACAGAGCCCTCAGAAATAACGCCTCATATCTACAACTATCTAATCTTTGACAAACCTGAGAAAAACAAGCAATGGGGAAAGGATTCCCTATTTAATAAATGGTGCTAGGAAAACTGGCTAGCCATATGTAGAAAGCTGAAACTGGATGCCTTCCTTACACCTTATACCAAAATCAATTCAAGATGGATTAAAGACTTAAACGTTAGACCTAAAACCATAAAAACCCTAGAAGAAAACCTAGGCATTACCATTCAGGACATAGGCACGGGCAAGGACTTCATGTCTAAAACACCAAAAGCAAAGGCAACAAAAGCCAAAATTGACAAATGGGATCTAATTAAACTAAAGAGCTTCTGCACAGCAAAACAAACTACCATCAGAGTGAACAGGCAACCTACAAAATGGGAGAAAATTTTCGCAACCTACTCATCTGACAAAGGGCTAATATCCAGAATCTACAATGAACTCAAACAAATTTACAAGAAAAAAACAAACAACCCCATCAAAAAGTGGGCAAAGGACAGCAACAGACACTTCTCAAAAGAAGACATTTATGCAGCCAAAACACACATGAAAAAATGCTCACCATCACTGGCCGTCAGAGAAATGCAAATCAAAACCACAATGAGATACCATCTCACACCAGTTAGAATGGCAAGCATTAAAAAGTCAGGAAACAACAGGTGCTGGAGAGGATGTGGAGAAATAGGAACACTTTTACACTGTTGGTGGGACTGTAAACTAGTTCCACCATTGTGGAAGTCAGTGTGGCGATTCCTCAGGGATCTAGAACTAGAAATACCATTTGACCCAGCCATCCCATTACTGGGTATATATCCAAAGGACTATAAATCATGCTGCTATAAAGACACATGCACACGTATGTTTATTGCGGCACTATTCACAATAGCAAAGACTTGGAACCAACCCAAATGTCCAACAATGATAGACTGGATTAAGAAAATGTGGCACATATACACCATGGAATACTATGCAGCCATAAAAAATGATGAGTTCATGTCCTTTGTAGGGACATGGATGAAATTGGAAATCATCATTCTCAGTAAACTGTCCCAAGAACAAAAAACCAAACACCGCATATTCTCACTCATAGGTGGGAACTGAACAATGAGAACACATGGACACAGGAAGGGGAACATCACACTCTGGGGACTGTTGTGGGGTGGGGGGAGGGGGGAGGGATAGCATTGGGAGATATACCTAATGCTAGATGACGAGTTATTGGGTGCAGCACACCAGCATGGCACATATATATGTATGTAACTAACCTGCACATTGTGCACATTTACCCTAAAACTTAAAGTATAATAATAATAAAGAAAGAAAGAAAGAAAGCCACTAATATTTTGGTAGATTTCTTTTTTTTTATTATTATTATACTTTAAGTTTTAGGGTACTTGTGCACAACGTGCAGGTTTGTTAAGTATGTATACAGGTGCCATGTTGTTGTGCTGCACCCATTAACTCGTCATTTAGCATTAGGTATATCTCCTAATGCTATCCCTCCCCACTCCCCCTACCCCGCAACAGTCCCCAGTGTATGATGTTCCCCTTCCTGTGTCCATGTGTTCTCACTGTTCAGTTCCCACCTATGAGTGAGAACATGCGGTGTTTGGTTTTTTGTCCTTGAGATAGTTTGCTGAGAATGATGGTTTCCAGCTTCATCCATGTCCCTACAAAGGACATGAACTCATCATTTTTTATGGCTGCATAGTATTCCATGGTGTATATGTGCCACATTTTCTTAATCCAGTCTATCATTGTTGGACATCTGGGTTGGTTCCAAGTCTTTGCTCTTGTGAATAGTGCCACAATAAACATACGTGTGCATGTGTCTTTATAGCAGCATGATTTATTGGTAGATTTCTAATTATTTTATACATGCGCATATAAGTATTTACTTTCTTTTACTTACTGTGGTCAATTCTGGCATTCTGTTAACATTACTTATACTTTACCATTCATTTTTTTCCCTTATACATTGGCTCAAACTTCTCAGAAAAACATTCCTTTTATGTAAGATCTGCTCAAGTAAATACGAATGCTTTCTTCACACAGTGCTATAACTTGTAGTGACCCATAGTCTTTTCTTTCTGTTGTCACTACCTTAAGAGAAACATTTGCAAAGAACTCTTCCCTACAAATGGCCATATTCTATAAATGGATGTTGTAACTTAGTTATCTTTGAATTCTATTAAGCAACATAGATTGCACAATCCCTTTTATGCTCCAGGCCTTCAGCTAGTGTGGCTCAAATTAAACTCAGAGTACAGTGAAGACTGAAGAGTAGACCTAAAGTCCTTAAAACTTTTTAATTAATATATTACCAAACCTAAATTAGAAAAGTTTGAAATAGCTATGCTGGCAAAATGTATTTAGAATCAACTAGGATGGTAAAATAATTGTAAATTTCTAAGCTGTGTCAGTGGAACCTGGTTACTAATTTGAATGTCATCCAATGGGCTAGTTCACTTGTTATTATATGTGACGGTTGATAATTTGCAGAGTATTTTTAGATGAACTCTTTAAGTTTATGATAATAACAACCATTTTTATTGCTTTTCTCACTTACTGAATGAAATATACTTAAATCATGTTGAAGTTTTTAATAACCTAATGAGTGTAAGGGATTTGGAACAGACTATAATATATTTTGCATGTCTCTAGGTTCTAAAGGGTTTTTTCCTTGCCTTCTAGAATCTGCAGAATGCCATGCCATCAATGCCCTGTTACCTTAGGGAGGTTTTCACACTATTGTTTCTGCATTTATCCATTAAAATAAATTTCCCAAGTGGTGTATTTTAAAAATTATTAATGCCCAGTGGAGGCTGGGCATGTTAGGATGGTGTACGCAGTGTTCAGGAATAATAACCTAATTCAGTTCGTAATTGGTATGTAATTCCCCTCTCCACCAAAATCATCCAAGGAAAGGGGCCATGAATGTAAAGTGATGTAGTGTGTGTGTGTGTGTGTGTGTGTGTGTGTGTGTGTGTGTTTCTCTGTTCCTAGTTTATCTTATAAATTATTTTTAAAAAGGTAGAAAAGGTAAATGCAGTAAAACTCTTCAATGTAGACCCAGAAAACACACCTAAGCTTTTATAAAGTGCTCTTTTAAGGTAATTAGAAAATTATTCTCTTAATGTAGGTTTATAATAAACATTAAAAATTGTGAAAGCTGTAATGTAATTTTCAAATCATTTATATTATTGCTAACCATGAGTTTCATAAGGTTTGAGTTGAGAGAAAATACTTGGTAATTAATATAAAATTTAATTTAACTTGATAATTTAATACAGAAGATATTTCCTAGTTCTGTTAGTCTATGAAATGTTTTAATGTACTTTTTTGGTATAAACCTCTCATATATTTTCATGTGTCACCTAAAATATTTTTTAAACTGTTAGAAATGTTACCTTAATCTAATAAAAGAATGGAAAAATTATTTGGACTAGTTTAAAATTATTAAGGAATTTGAAAATTAATGTTTCTAGAAGTTACACATTTAACTAGAGAAAGATACAATTAGAGAATTTTAATTAATCTTTCAACTTTGAAAACATTGTAGCTTCTATATAACATGGAAATAATAATAACTGACTAATAAAAGCAGTATGCTATGCTTGAGTTCTCTTCCAGTTCTAAAAGCTACAATTATAAATTGCTGAAATAGAGAAACACTGCAGAAATTTCAATACTTTTTCTTAGTATTCTATTCATTTTTAAAGTCCAAACATTAGTTAGCCACTTTGAAAGATATTGTCAAAGTTGTCTTTTTTTTCTAATTGGTGTGGCTACTACAAAGCAATAAAATACTACTCAATATATAACCTGCATTTATAAATCACACGTCTCCTTATTTAACTAAAAGGTTCCCATGGTCCTCTCAGCTACAGGGTTCCTGAGTGGCTGAACATAATTTACAAAGGAAAAGACAAAAAGCCTTTTAAATTTTACCGCATGATCTAGAGCTGGTGATGAGAGAGAAATATAGAGGTTCCACAATCTTTAAGAAGCTATAAACCATCGTGCTCTCTTTAGCATTTATCAATTTTTAACCACTGCTACAAGGCTTGCAGCAATCAATTATTCCCTGGCTCAGTGAGGGACTCAAAGCTATACCAGATAAACCAGAAATCAATTTTACTGCCTTGTGGCTGGTTTCTAAATATGTTCCTGCTCACCACATATAAAATAAACAATGCTAGAATTCTACTGGTTCTGTGACAATTATTTTTACATCACATGAAAAAGTAAATATTTTTAAATGGGAAGGAAGAACACATTTTGATTTATAAAGCCTAGACTTGTTTTCTTTTTCTCAAGTTAATAGTGAAAATTGAAGAGGGAAGTGTTTCCCCTTTTATGCCTTGCATGAAACTGGTTTCTAATTAATGGAAGCCTTATTTATTTCAGCTAAGCAATCATCTTTCTTCATCTCATTTCTACTGGATTGCTGTCAGATACTGCACAGAGGGATATTTGGTACATACTACCATTTAATATGTTTGCCTCTGCCCCAGCCACTGTGACCAATGAGAGCCTTCCTGAAATGTTAGATTGAGTTAAATAGATGCACCAGAAATCTCATTTTTATCCTCTCATATTTTTACTCCAATTTAAATTTTTTCTCACTTTCCATTCTTGGCCCTATTGTTCCAATTTATAATGTTTCCATACAAGTCAATCACCAGAACATACCACCATACTTCCGAAAACCTTCAGACTCGTTGGGGAAGTAAGGGATATATACAGGTTTGGGTGATAGGCTGAGGATAATGTTGAAAAACAGTATTTTTTTAAAAAAGAAATAAAAGTATTAATTTTATGTTTTAATGATTAACTTTGCAGGCCGGACGCAGTGGCTCACGCCTGTAATCCCAGCACTTTGGGAGGCCGAGGTGGGCGGATCACAAGGTCAGGAGATTGAGACCAACCTGGCTAACACGGTGAAACCCCGTCTCTACTAAAAATACAAAAAATTTGCCGGGCGTGGTGGCGTGCGCCTGTAGTTCCAGCTACCCGGGAGGCTGAGGCAGGAGAATGGCCTGAACCCGGGAGGCGGAGCTTGCAGTGAGGGGAGATCGCGCCACTGCACTCCAGCCTGGGCCACAGAGCGAGACTCCGTCTCAAAAAAAAAAAATGTAAGAAATAAAAATGATTAACTTTGCAAATGTGTAAACATTGCCTCAAGCAATTTGAACATAATTCTGTCAAACAGCTGCTACAGATATGTGTTCTATGTTAACCAAAGTAAGAGTATAAAATTGTGTTTTCTATATATCTTACATTTATTTAAGGGTAGTTAATTTACTTTTCAAAGGGATGCTTCCTGAAAAATTATTTGTTGAATCTTAATGTATGTAAATTTTCAAAAACTATTTAGCAGACTACATAGTTCCAGAAAGAAATGCAGACTCTGGCCAGAGAATCTATCTGTACTGTAAATATATGAACCAACCACACTGAGAAGGGGGTAGAGGGACAAGGTGTTGACGTAAGTAACTTTGGAAATTAGTGGAGTCCATAAAATTGTTGACAAAAGATATTGTACATAAGCACCATACTCTAGTTAAGAAATATTTTCCCCACCCTGGTACAGCTTAACAATCCTGATACCACTATGGATGTATACTGGCATTGAACGATTAAGGGAAATGGATGATAGATGTTAGGTACCAGGTTTCTCACCACGGGAGCGAGAGGTGACAGATGCAAGGGAGAAGGCTAGTATGATCTTGCAGTAATAGTTAAGAGTTGGATAAATCAGTAGAAACTGATTAATGTGTAGTGGAAAAAGTACACTGAATTACAGTCAGTCAAAAGTGTCTTGTCTTAGATGACGTGAAGCAAGCGCCTGCCTTTTTCCAGAATTGACACACAAAAATAGTTCCAAGCTTTTATTATTTTAAACTGACTGCTTTATCTGTCTGGTAAAAATTTGTACGCATAAGTTAATGGAAAAATGTTATTTGTGCATATATAATATATTATCATCATTGTTATATAGCACTTCACTATTTATGGGTCTGATGGTCTCAGTAGTTAATGTCATAAAATGATATATTTCACAACATTTTCTTTAGTTTCTTAGGATTCAAATCAGTATAACTATTGATGCTCACTTTGCAATAATTTTGGCATCATATTTGCTGAATGAATCAAAAGTTCCTAGCAGGCGAGAAATAATTTGTGTGTCTAATTTTCATAAACATGCTTATCTTTATAGATATAATAAGAAATGGAAAATGTTTAAGCATATTTTGTAAATAAAAATGAAGAGGTCTTGACATTAATGTCATCACTCAGTATATGTGACATTATTTAATATACTATTTGATTAAGTAACTTACTAATCAGTGAAATATATTGGAGACGTTATTAATTAGGTAATGAGTGAACAGACACAAGTTTTACTATAACAAACTTATTTTAAATTTTGGAAGGACATATAAGGAAATCTTGTATTACAAATGAAAAAAGCTATGTAAAGCAACAGGGGTTATCTAAAACAAAATCAAAACATCCTTGATATTCAATTATTTCTTTGATTTACTGTGTAAATTTTCTAAATTGGTATTTTAAGTGACGTAATCAGCAATGTAGCCCAAACATTGATAAATTATGGTGATGATAATAGATCTACTACTTTTTTATTTATTTTTCATTAAAATGTGCCTAAGGTTTATATATGACATAGTTTTATAAAAAGTAATCAGAAATGGCTAATTGATAGTTGCTACATATAGTAACCTGATATATATAAATGGAAATTTCATTTAAAGCACTTAAAACTTTATAAATCTCGCCTTTCATTGAAAGATATATACATTGGCCATGATGCTATATCTCTCAGGTGTTACCAATGAGAAATTTTAGACACTTTGGAATATACACACATATTTATAAATCAACAAGTTTTTATTTAATGCCCTGATGGTGAAATTTACCTGCATTTCTAATTTAAAATACCTCTCTGGATATGTACAACTAATGCAATAGAATACGAGAAAGAACTGACACTTAGAGTAAGTAATCTTACTTAATTTAATAATCATATAAAGTACTAATAATTAATTAGGTATTAAGCTATTACTATGCCTTAGATAGATTGAAGAGTCATATAGACATTCATTGAGGTGACATATTATTGATGTTCTGCAGAGTTCCAATCTTCACCTTTTCTCTGATCATTTTGACCCAACTCTCCAAGACGATTCCAACTCTTTTAATATTTCCAAATATTAATGTCTCACGTTAATATCTATCTTAATATTTAGACCTTTCTGACCTTCTGAATATGTCTATCTTGTTGTCTTAAGGCACATTAAAATCAACTTGGACAAAGAGACAAAATTTTTCACTTTTTATTTAATAAGAAGAAAGTGAATATGCTTATTTAATAATTATTCACCTTCTTCTTTAAAAAGAAGAATGAGGTTGTGTTGGTAAAAGATAGTGTAAAAGATACTGTACAATCAACTTCCAACTAGCACCATACTTGATAAAAGAATTTAAAAATGGGATCAGATGCCATCCTTTCTGCCAAGTGCAGGAAATGATAAACTGAAGGAGATATGACATCATCTGGAGTCCCTAAAATTTATAAGCACAGTATTGAGTATTTAATAACAATTTTAAAGGTCCATCAAAAAGATAAAACATCTCTAAAAATGTTATCTAGAAAATAAAAGAGAGAGTGACCTATAGGTAATTTAGATATTGATGTTGGTTGACTAGTTATAAATAAAATTTTTGTTCTTATATCTAAGAAAATATAATAGTCCAACAATACATCTAGAATAATAAGTCAACAAATACATTTAATCTCTGAAGCCAAATTGACATTTAATAACTGAGAAATATAATATCTAAAATTTAAAATACGTTAGAAATGGATAAAAGCAGACTATGAACAACAGAAGACAGAATTTTTGAGACCAACATTAATATCAAAACTCAGGCAAAGAAATTACAAGAAAAGATAAAAGACAGACAGATATTTCTCAAATAAAGGAGTATATGAAAGCCAATTATAATATGCCAAGGTAAAGTGTGAGTAATCTCAAGAATAAAGCTAGTATAACATTTGAAAATCAATATAATTTGCAATATTAATAATATGGACAGCTGGGCGTGGTGGCTCATGTCTGTAATCTCAGCACTTTGGGAGGCCGAGGCAGGCAGATCACGAGGTCAGGAGATCGAGAACATCCTGGCTAACACGGTGAAACCCTGTCTCTACTAAAATTACAAAAATTAGCTGGGTGTGGTGGCGGGCGCTGGTAGTCCCAGCTACTCGGGAGGCTGAGACAGGAAAACTGCTTGAACCCAGGAGGCAGAGGTTGTCGTGAGCCGAGATCGTGCCACTGCACTCCAGCCTGGGTGACAGAGCGAAACTCCATCTCAAAATAATAATAATAATAATAATGACAAAGAAAAACCATGTGATTCTACTAACAGATTCACATACATAACTAATATAATATCTATTTCTGTTTAAACTCTTGGGAAATGAGAAATAGAAGGATACTTCCTAAAATTATAAAGTGAATCTTAGAAAAACCTACAGCTTCTGTCACACTTAGTGGTGAATGACTACTTTTCCTCAAGGTTAAGGACGTAGATAAGACATCTGTTCTCACAACTTACACTCACAATGTAGTCCTAGCTGTGTAATAAGGCAAGGAGAAGAAAGAGCCTTGAGATTGAAAATAATATCGCTTTTATTTGTGATTATCATGAACATACATATATATATATATATATATATATATATATATATATATATATATATAAAATCCTATAAAATACGCCCCAAAGCTGCTAGAACTAGTAAACAGGTTTAGCTAGATGGTAGTATATAAGATCAATATGAAAAAATCAACTCTATTTTATATAGCAACAACAAATATTTCAAACTTAACATTTTTGAAATATCAAAAGCAGTAGCATCCTTAAATATGAACTATTTAGAGATTAAGGTGTAGAACGATGGACATAAAAAGGTACATTTTGTATATGAAAAAGTATAAAGCATTGCAGTGAGAAATGAAAGAAGATATAAATAGGTAAATATACTTGTTCATGGACCAGAAGACCCAGTGTTATTACAATGGCAAGTCTATTCAAATTGATCAACACAATCCAAATTAAATGTAAAAGAAAGTTCTAAATGTAAACATGAACTAAAAGCATAAAATACACCCATCAGAATTTCTGGGGTTAAAAAAACATACAGTTGTTGATGACAATGTGCATTAGTCAAAACCTCAAATTCTGTTAAAAATTTATGAAAATGTTTGGCAATATCCACTGAAGCAGAACACGTCTACTCTTTGGTCCATCATTTCTACCCAGAGGTATGTAGCCAATAGAAATGCACATCTGCGTTTTTTAAAAAAGGCATTTGATATAATGTTCAAAAGAACATCATTTATAAGGCTCCAAATGGAATAATTCACTTGCCCATTTAAAATATAATGGGTAGATAAATTGTTTAAATTTATAAAATACAATGATATATAGCAATAAAAATAAGTATAATACTGCATTGAACATTAGGAATCTCATGAATTTATGAGTTGAAGCCAGAAATAAAATTACATTTTGTACAATTCCATTAATGTAAAATTTAAAGATGTAATAATCAAATCTATGATGTTTAAAGTCAAGAAAATGATTATCTTTGTTGGAGAATGTTGATGAGACTACTGATGAGAATATTGATTAGAAGGGTCTGTGAAATAATTGTGGTTCTGATAACATTCACTTTTTTTTATATTTGGGTGCTGGTTACATATGTGTGTTTGTCAAATTTTTCATGCTGCCTTTATGTTGTGTATACTTTTCTGTACATATAATTTGATAATTTTTAAGAAATTGACATAATATCTACCTTGAAGAAGTTGCTACTGGCTAAGCTTGTGACAATTTAAGTATAAAAATACTTATAATAGTAATGGATTATAGCACATTAATTAATAGTAAAAATAATAAATCAAGGTGATTGTGCAACGCTCACAGCAGTAGGGTGGTATTTTTCATTACAGATAATGACGACTAATAAGTATAGAAAGGAGAAAAGAACTAGAAAATCACCCTCTTGCGATAACCAATGTAATTATAGATTTATATTTGAATGTTAAAACAAGGGAATAAATTTTGTTGTGAAACAGGATATTCAATGGCCTCAAATGACCTTCCACAGATTGCAGTTATAAAGCAGAATGCTTAACTTTTTAGTGGAGCACTCTGGCAGATACCAACTTAACCAAAGGATTAATAATGGAGAAATAAACCTGATATTGTGTGCTTTCTAATGTGATACATTTAAAACTATTGCCTATTTTGAGCTAAAATTGTGTAGCATGAATCCAACAATGAGGAAAGAGTCAGATTATCTACGCTTTGTGACATTCTACAAATTAACTGGATTTGACACTTCAAATATATTATTAAAATGAAAGTAAGAAAAAAAAGAAAGAAGAAAAGGTAGGAAAGAAGTTGGGGTTGGAATCAATACATTGATTAAAATAGAGTTTTTCCACCTAGTCTGTATGGTATTAAATGAAATAAGCATGTTGAATAGAAATTCAACATAATATTTTTCTACATCTACCCTTGTGTCTTGCCTGCTCAAGATCACTGATGTCATATCTATTTTAGTGTAAAACCATGTATTATATAATAATGTATACATCAAACTTAATATCCATAGCAATATGTAGTAGGAAAGCATACAAAAAAATTAAAACATGTTACATAAACTAACAGAACCAACCATTTATAACCTTATTTATATTAAAGATGGAAATCTGGAGTAAAGAGTAAAAAAATACAGCTAAAAGTTTTTATCTGGGTTTGTAACTTCACAGTGGGTTTTCCCTCTTCTATTTGAATGATCAAGGGAGAAGAAATTGTTTGATTCAAATGGTAAAGTCTACATCTCTATTCTATTCCTAGAAAATTATGATGGTTATACACATTTTCTATTTACTTCATGACTATATTTTCAAAATAAACATTTGGTTCTTAAAGAAGACTTACTATAACAAGAGCTTTGAACAAACGTTTTGTTATAGTTGTGAATGCTAAATTTCTTTTTATCTATTTTTCACATATAAGAGGGGGTAATCAATGGTCCGACGTCTCCTTGTGCACTGAAATTATAGCGTGAAGTGAATTGCATCCTTTTCTAGTTAGCATTTATATTGAGCCACTCTCAGCCTGATCATTTGTATGCAATCATTTGCATGGTTTTTTTGGCTCTTTCATCCATCCCTGAAAGGTCAGCAAGTATTACTGTCCTGCTTTGACAGTGAAGGTGACTGAAGTAAACTGAGAATAAGAAAGGCTTGCAAATGATAAGCAAAAGCCATTAGGGTCAGCAACTCCAGCACAGAGGGAACATAATTTGCATGCTCCCTGCCTATATTTTATGATACAGCTCCTTAACTCTTTACCTGTCTTCTTTGCTGTTTATTGTTTTTAATATTCAAATCAGTTCAACTCCGAAAGACTTTACTGAACATTCACTTAGTCTCAGCAAGGTCCAACTTACTGGAGTGGTACGAGTTGCTCAGTACATGGCACACAGGCTGTCAATTATTATATAAATGAATGAATCCACACTACATAATTAGATGCATAATCCATTTTCAAAGGGATATGCAATTTAGGGGAGGAGGAAAAGAATATGGAAAATAAGAGAAATAATAAATACAAACTAAAGCAATTTATCTAGTAGAATATAAGGTCTATGGATATAAAGAGTGTGCATGTTTTACTTGCTATTTTATCTTTAGTGCCCAGCACAATGTCTGGCACATTTCAAGTCTCCAATAAATATTTAATGAAATAATAGTTGCTATAAGCAAAGATAGCAAGGTAGTACTGTCTAGCCAATTACTGCTTGAATTTAAAACACAGAAGTCATCATTAGACATTCAGTTAGTAAACACTCACAAAGCTACATATGAAAGTAAGTAGAGAACTTTCCTAATTATGTATTACAGGTTGAGCATCCCTACTCCAAACATTTGAAATCTGAAATCCTCTAAAATGTGATACTTTTCAAATGCCAACCTGATGCCACAAGTGGAAAATTCCACACCTGACCTCATATGTCAGGATGTAGTCAAAATGCAGTTAAAACTTTGTTTCATGCATAAAATTATTTAAAATATTGTATAAAGTTACCTTCAGGCTATGTGTACAGGGTGTATGTGAAACATAAACAAATTTTGTGTTTAGACTTGAGTCCCAACCCCAAGATATGTAATTATTCATATGCAAATATTCCAAAATAAAAAAATCCGAAATCCGAAGTATTTCTGGTTCCAAACATTTTAAATAATAAATACCCAACCTATTATTTTTCTTGTGATATATACTGGTATAGCCATGTACCTGGTCTCTCTCCTTATATCCTAGCTTTAAGACAGTTTTCAAAATAGAAGCCAGAGTCATCCTTTAAAAATGTTAAGTCAGATTATGCCACTCTACTACAATTCTGTCCTTGACTTCTCATTTTATGCTGAACATTAAACTAAAGTTCTTACGGTGGTTTTCAAATCCTTCATCCTCTGTCCCTGGCAATTCTCCAACCTTCTTTCCCAATTAACATACTTTGCTCCAGTTTTTCTCTCTTCTTGTGGTTTTTATGAAGATGTCAGGTGCCTTCCTGCCTTAGGACTTTGAAATTGCTATTGCCTGGCCCTGATAACCACATATTTCTCTTTCTCATTTCCTCTTAATTAAGCTTAAATATCAGCAAGAGATTCCCTAATCACCCTGTATAAAATGTGAACATTTCTTTTCCCAGTTCCTTTTGCCTTGTTTTATTTTTCTCCGCAGCAATTGTCACCACTTACACACTTTTCAACCCATTTATTTGTTTATGCTCTTTCTCCCATGCTAGAATGCATGCTCTGTGAGAAGAGAGATTTGTCTTTTTTGTTTGGGTTATATAGTTAGTATCTCACATGTTTATGGCACATAGTATGTGCTCAATGAATATGAAAATAAAATAATGGCAGTTAATATTTAGAAACCAAAGTTAAAACTAAAGTGGTAACGAGAGATAGAAATAGACACAGAGCACTATAGACGGAGTCACACCAAAAAAAAAAAAAAAATCACAGTCAGAGTGAAGAAAACAAATACGTATAATATTCTGTCAAATGAATTACGACTAATTTATAGATAAACATAGTGTCAAAATAATTATCTATGTTCATGACATGGGTTAGGGCAATGATGAAACATTATAATCTGTCTTAAAAGTCCTCCTCACATCAGGACATGCTTTAAGTCTCTACTGCTTAAAAAGACACTGGAGACTATATCGTTCTCTAAACAACAAAGAATAATAGATGAAACAAGAAGAAAAATAGTAAATACCAAAAACCACAGAAGAGGTATATGAGAGACTTTTGGAGATAATATCAGAGAAAGATAACAAATGAGGCTATATTAAATCAAATTCTTCCATATTCAATTTTTACAAATCTTGTTACTTATCATTTCATTACAAATTTCTAAATATATTAATAGGAATGCAATAATATGCATTATTTTTTAAACAAACTTTATAAATGAAATTCATGGAATACCTTATTTTCATGTATCTTTATTGATTTATAACACATTTAAAAATCTGTCAAAAGGAGTTTAAAAACCTCTACCGTTATGAATTTGCAATTGGTTTCATTGAGTTTATACTAATTGCACTTCTGTACTGTACTGAAAATCTTTTCAATTAAAGGTGTGACTGGAGATGCTATAATACACCAAAAAATAGAATAAATACATATTCTATTCAATAAATTTTAACGTCTTTTTTTCATACAAGTTCACTTTCAACAACATTCTCTAATCTACTAAGCTTTTTATATAACTCTTGCTAACAGCTCTCTCAGATTATTATGTTCTATAGTCATCCCAGTCTGTATTTGTTATGGTTTTAGCCTGTTTGGACATTTGCAAATCTTGAGTCATACAGGACAAGCCTTAGTTGTATAGGATTGCTCCATGCATTGCAGCATCTGGCACCCTTGACCTCCACTTACTAATTTGAAAAGCAAAAAGATCCATGTGGGTATATAAAGGGCTCCATAATTGTGAATCAGGTTAGAGAATGGCATGAGACTAAAATAAGTTATAAGTCTATTGCAAAAATACAAGCAATAAATATGGAGAGCTATGTTTACACAGTAGGCATGGAAGGAGGAAGAGAGCATGCAAGTAAATGAAGCCTCTTGATATTTATCATATACTTACATTGCAATGTAGAGACTCATGTTACCATCCTAGTAGAATGTAAGGTTTTTCAGGACAGAGATTTTATCTTATAGGTTCTATCCTTCCAAGGCACATGGCTTTTTAGCTCAAAGCTCTTCATATGTCATACACTATGTACTTTTTTCTTCCTTATGATATCCTATTTTTCCATCTTAAGTTTATTCTTTCTTGTCTCTTCTAAATAATCACTATTGATTATCTCCTCATGCCCAGTAATCTGTCTTCCTCATCATTCTACTGCATAACCTCTCTCATTCAATCAGTACAGATCAAATTGCCAAATTCCCAAATCCTATGGGCCTTTCTCTGTCTACATCTTCCCTAATTTGTTGGCAGAATTTGACACTACCAGATTTTTGTTTGATTTTTCTAAAATTTTTCTCCTTTTACGTTTTTTGTGACCCTTGACCTTGATACTCTTTAGATTATCAAGAGCAACTAAAAAAATCCTGCTTTCTTTTTCCTTTTTCATGTCTCTCAACTTTGTATGCCCCCAAACTGAGATTAATCTCTTCTTACCACTTCATAGGTTTTCTCATACCTCTTCTCCTTCCTTTCTTTTCTTTCTTTCCTTTCTTTTCCCTCCTTCTTTATTCCCTTTCCTCTCTTTCTGCCTCTTCCCTTTCCATTCCCTCCCCTGCTCTTCTGTCGTCCCTCTATTCTAAATTATTTTTCTAATTTCCTTTAATCACTTCCATATAATTAAATTATCTGATTTTTATCATTGTAACTTAACCCCAGTTCTACTGGGTGTTTTTACCTCTTTAACCACTGACACATCCACAGCCTAAGGACTGAACATCTTCACTGTCCTCAACCAGTTTTCTTAGCAGTACCATCGGTGCCTCATCATTAGCAAATTGCTCCAAAATGAAGTCCCTGTCCTTCCTTTCCTCTGATGAAAATGGCATCTACAATCTTTACTCTACTTCCTCCCTGTAGTCATCATTCCTAATTCAATGTTATCATTTTACACTAGGTATTTAATAATAAATTCTGACTTACTTTGCCTGTTTCCAGAGATGCTTACTCCAAAATTATTCTACTTCTGACCACTGAAATAGATTAGGAAACTTTAAGATATAGAATTATTCAAGGTCTGTCTATTAACAAATGAAAGTAAAATTCATATTGTGATACTTAAGGCTTTGAACATGCAATCATTGCATCATTTTAGTTCAAATTAGGTGAAATTTCATCACATGTCCTACATGAACCACCAGGCTGTGTTTACTTCATAGTTCTCGAATAAGCAAGGTCCAATGAGACTACTAGAATCTAGTGAGTCTATTTTCTAGGTCTTACTGCAAATGAAGCCCAATTAAGAAAAGAGAAAGTGATGAAAGTAGATCCTTTTTTTTTTTTCTTTTCCCTAATCAATGTTCCCATGAAATCATTCTCTCTGAAGAATCAGAGGCCAAAGAGCTATGTTTATTTTTAACTGCTAATTTGGGGCTCTTCTCTTTGGGGGAGGACTTTTCTGGAAGTGTCCCCATGTATCCATCTAGGTCTTATGAAGTGGAAATTCAATATCTCATGGAGGGGTTTTTTTGGTTTTTGTTGTTGCTGTTGTTTCTCATTGGTATAAATTTCAAAAGGTGGTATAATAAAATGGGAACAAAATGGACATAAAGATCACATTATCTTCTAGGATAAAAATCTATTTCCTGTTAATCTTGTACCTTGAATCATTGTATATTATAGACTTAAAATATACAAACTAGATTCTAGAAAAGACAGAGTGTAAGACATTTCTTTTCTGCTAAAAGAAATATAATGCCAGTAATATACAGCATACTATTTGAGAATAATATGAAACATTTTCTATCATCAAGTTCCCACACTGAAATTAAAGTTGTAAAACAAAACTATTCCTTTTCCAATTGGAGAAATAAGACAAAAATTAATGATCTTTCCAAATTTTCTTAAGCAGCTGAGTTCCAGTCATCATTCAGGATACAAGAGACATTTTCTTTCTTTTTTAAAGTGCAAGAGTTTGCGCCATCTTCTACTAGAACATAAATAACTTCCCTAGCATCTTCAAAGTTGTTTTCAGGTTTTTGTATCATTCTCATTCAAATATCACACTTGTCAAATTCCAAAACTTGTTAGAAGGACACATACAAAATCAGGTTGACAAAATGAGGCCCAAATTATCTACTTTTATCATTAATTATTCTAAACAAAAAAAATAACATATTATCTCCAATAAATATCACAATCAAGATTCACTATTACCACTGCAGGCAAAGATCATAGCAGCATCATACTGCTATTGCACCACTTATTTTTCTGCTGTGCCACTTCTTATCCAGGTTGATGTTTAAAAAACAGACTGGTCCAGTAGCTGTTGTGTGGGTCCTGCATTCACCATTTCTCACAAGTTCCCAGCTGATGTCAGTGCTGCTGGTTTATGTAGTGCAATTTGAGTAACAAAAGTCTATTACAGGCAGTGAGTTGAAGATGGAGGAAAGGTTTGCTTATGAGGGAAAAGCAGAAAATAATAAAAATGAAAAAATTAGCTTTAGCTTTGCCAAGAAGCTAATTAAGCTGTTCCAGCTGGTTTATAACAGGTGAATGTAAAATCAGTTAAGAGAACTATTTCATCAAAACAATGAATTGTACTACATTATTTCTACATTCTTTGGAGACAATCCACATACAGTATATTCATTGCCTCCTTTACTGAAGAAGGTCATTTGCCATCCCATGGTTTCTTAATGACTTTTAAGAATTTGGAGTGGTGATCTTGCCATTCTCTGTATAGTTCTTGAGACTCTTCTTTTCACCTTCACATGTATCCTGAATATTTAAATTTTCGTAATTTTTTTTTTTACTCTGGCCTCTGCATTTCTTATACCATGATACTGAAGGGAGAATTATACACAAAGAGCAATAAGCAAGCAATGGCAAACACAAATATTAAATCCTGTTTACTAAGATTTGAGCTAGTACCTGAAATCTGGATTCAGGTCTCTCTGGTTAAAAGTATGTCACTTAGTGAGTAACAAGTATCTCTAACATTTCAACCTCAAACTCAAACACAGCTCTGAGGACCAGCCAGCCTGAAGTACAAAGTCATATGAAAACCTTTGTTTAAACTTCTTGTGTGATGCAAGAAGAACTAGTATGAACAGGCCTTAAGTGGGGTAACTAACTGCTCTTACCAATTTGGAAGAGGATCCTAGCAAAAGCATTATTGTTATGTACAGAATCTGTTGGTGTACTGGAATCCTGCACACTAACAAATGTTGCCTAATCATTCTCCTAAAATCAGAAAAATAACATGAGACTTCTCTCAGAGCATGGAGATTATATAGAAAAGGCACAGGGAAAGGGAAGACTTCTGGATTTAACCTCTCCCTCCCAAATTCTGAGTACTTGAAATTATTTGTATACGAAACACCTGCAACATGCTGTTTACGCATGTAACACACCTGTATATGTACCCCTTGAACCTAAAATAAAATTTGGAAAGAAAAAAAAAGAAAATAGAAAAGAAACCAAAAAAAAAGAGAGTAAAGGAAGAAAGTGCATTAAATTAGGCCCAAGAAATCAGAATAGTTTATGTCAAGTTCTCAGAATATTTGTTTTTATTATCACATTGCTTTTTAATTTAGAGGTTATGCATATATTCTGTGGCTTGTCAAAAATAACCTCATGATATGCAATTTCCTCTGTGTTTATGTGTAAAGCCTTTTTCCCATCTAATGATGTAACATAATAAATAAGACAAAAACTTGTAAGCAAAAGATCTGGGGGTCATATTTTGAAGTAGAGCCTAGTACACGCACAATGGTCCCAAGTGGATAAGGATTTTAAAGGTAACAATAGAGCTGAACAAATAGAGTAGGCTAAAAAACATACATACTTATGAGCCAATGGCTTCATATAACATTTAACACGAACCTGTAAGTAGCACTAAAAATAAGAGGATTCTTTTACAAGTCATTACAAGAATTTCAATTGTCTGCCATATTTTTAAGTTTACAACATTTTTTAAAAATATAAGTAGAATTGTTTGATGTGTACATCATATTTATTTATCTGATCACTTGATATTCCAAGGAATTAAGATTGAAATTTCATGTTAATTTTAGCAGGATGATAATTTAGCAATTACATAGTAAAACAATTATAAATCTGGAAGAGACTTTAGGGGTAAATTAGTCCTAATTTACCCCCTCCCTCAGTATCTGTGGGGGATTGATTCCAGGAACCCATTCAGGTAACAAAATCTGTCAATGCTCAGGTGCCTTGTATAAAATGGCATAATATTTGCATGTAACCTACATATATCCTCTCATGTAGTTTAAATCATCTCTAGATTACTTATAATAACCACAGCAATGTAAATGTTTTGTAAATAGTTATACTGTGCTGAGTTTTTATTTTGTATTGTTTTATTGTTGTATTATTATTTTTATTATCATTGATTTTTAGAAATATTTTTGGCACTGATATTGAATCCACAGGTGCAGAAGCTATGAATACAGGGGCCGACTGTGTTCTTAAGCGAAAATAATACATCCGCAATTTCTAAACATCTCTTTCTTCAACTTAAAACTTAAATCTCAAATTTTTAGTCCATAAACTAAAAATGCACCATAAGCTTGTTCACATCTACTAGCTTCTCATGAGTCATTGTTTCTTTGTGAATCCTTTCCAGTCACATAAACAGTCTGACCATTAAGATGGTAGTGTGGAAATGAATCACCACTGACATTCAGGCTCTTCAGAACCTGTGAGATGAGATTTGTACACACAGCGACTCATAAAGACAGAATCCTTTTATAGTCTCAATAAAATAATAATCCAGGTGGAAAGCTGTGTTCTGGAATATATTCCTCTCTGATGCATTCTTCTTATCACTCTCCAATGACCATTAAACCAAACTGTTACTAACTTGAACTTTGACCACAGTCTCATAAGACTGGGTTACATAAAGAGATAATGCCTTCCATTTCTTCTTCTCTACTGAATCCCCATGTCCATCTCCAGAGACAAGGTTTCATCTAGCCATATATGAAAGATGGTTCAGCAAAGGAAAGGTATGACATTACCCAGAGGGACAAAGTAATAAATTTAAGATGATTGCTCCCTATTTAGAAAATGTATTTGTAGGTGTTAGGAGAGTTTTCCTGGGCAAGAATTGTAGTAGAAATTAGTCCTTGGATAATTCTGTATTCCTTCCCATGAATGCCCTCTTATGTGTAATCATTGTTGATTTTTTTCTGTTCAGTTAAAAAAAAAAGTGTGCTAGTATGTCTGTGTATATATATAAACTTAACTCTTCTTTGAATTGTGCATGTGTTTTTGGACCGAAAACATGGAGCATCTCCTAGATTTCCTATTTTATATCCCGTTTCACAAAAGCTTTGATCATATAAATGTAATCGCACACACAGGCACACACACGGTAGCACACACATATACACACAGTGCCATACGTGTACACACATTGCTCAAGATCGGAAGATGAGAGGAGCCCAAGCTTACCCAAATAGCCAGGCTGGCTGCCTGTGTGAATTATAGCTAGGAATATAAACTCTTTACACTCCATTAGCATTGATTGTGGCAACAAGATAGAGGCACTCCTCACAAATTTAAATGAGGAAGCAATACCAAACATAGTGATTATATTAAATATTATGTGTTCCTTAACTAATTTTTCTCTTCTAAATTATCTAACCCTTTTCTGCTTTCTCTGTCTCCCACTATATATATATATATATATATATACGTATATATGTGTATATATACACATATATACATATATATGTGTATATATGTGTATATATACACATATATACATATATATGTGTATATATACACATATATATACACACATATACATATATCTATATCTATATCTATATCTATATCTATATCTATATCTATATCTCATCTCGAAGTTGAAGAGCCTTGCTCTGTTACTGGAGGTATAATCCAAGGAAATTCTCCTCCCTGCCTAAACAAAGCCAATAGCTTGGCTCTACTTTGTGTGTAACACATGCCTGGGTCTTGTCTTTAGCTTTTTAGATGCACAAATTTAATTTTTCTCTCTCTGTCCAGATGCTTCATGGGTAGAATGATTATATAGTCCACAGACACAGAAATTTTATGGGGAAACAATGTGATTCAATTAAAATAAAAACAGAGAAATATTAATGGCTAATGGCTTCAAAATATTTAAACTCAAGACAGCCATCTGTATGATAAGTGTAAACCTTCTAAATGGACTAGTCCTTCAGATCAGCTAATTGGCATACTCTCTTCTTATGGAAAGTACTAGAAATTTCTTGAAGTTTACTCTCATTCCATTTAAAAATATTCGTTTTGTTTTGATTGTAGTAATGGTGATTAGATTTAAGCTTTCTTAGTCACAATCAGAATCTAATCATGCCTCCTTGATATTCATTTCAGTTTATCTTGACTTCATTTCGTATCTTCCTCAGGCTCTTCAATCACACATTTATAAAACATCTCTGTGTCTATAATGATGAAAAAATCATTAGCTCTTAAACGTTTTTAAGTGGGTAACCTTAAACTTCAGTTTCAACATTCATTACATTGTCACTATCTGCTTAGTTTTGACCTTGATCTGATAAGGTGTTACTCCTAGGTCCTGAGATGAAAATATAATCTTACTTTTCCCCCAGTCCAAAACGCTCTGTTAATGGAAATCATGGACAGCAAATACAGACACTATGCCATAAGAAAACTGAATTTTCTTATCTATGTCAAGCTAATGGAAGAGCAGTATTCCCATTTTATCAATAGCCATTTTGGGGCTGTAATGTGAAGGTGGTCCAAGGCATTTGATCACATTTGCCTTTTGGATAATCCATTTTTAAGGAAATTAACTCTGCGTGATCTATTGAAATGTTCTTTCTTCATTTCTTGCTTTTGTTCAATATCTCAACATTTGCATATTGAGGCAAGCTTACTGTGAACCAGAACTTCTGTTATGCATAAGAAATTGAAAGCTTTGGCCAGGTGCATTGGCTCACGTCTGTAATCCCAGCACTTTGGGAGGCTGAGGCAGGTGGATCACGAAGTCAAGAGATAGGGACCATCCTAGCCAACACGGTGAAACCCCATCTCTACTAAAAATACAAAAATTAGCAGGGCATGGTGGTGCATGCCTATAGTTCCAGCTACTCAAGAGGCTGAGGCAGGAGAACTACTTGAACTGGGGAGGCGGAGGTTGCAGTGAGCCGAGATGGCGCCAAATGCACTCCAGCCTGGCGACAGAGGGAGACTGTCTCAAAAAAAAAAAAAAGAAAAGAAAAGAAAAAGAAAAAGAAATTGAAAGGTTTTTGCAGGATACAAAGTCAACACAGAAAAATTAGTGCATTTCTATACATGAACAATAAACTAGCTGAAAATATTCAAGAAGGCAATCCCATTTACAGTAGCTTAAGAAAAAAAAAAACAACCTAGGAATAAATTTTAACCAAGCAGATAAAATAGCTCTACAAGGAAAACTACAAAACACTGATAAAAGAAATTGAAGAGGGTAAAACCAAATGGAAAGACATCTATGTTCATGGATTGGAATAATTAATATTGCTAAAATGATCATACCATGCAAAGCAACCTACAGATTTGGTCCAATCCCTATCAAAAAACCAATGACATTCTTCATAGAAAAATCAAAATAATTGTTAAAATTTGTATTATACCATGAAACACCTTGAATGCCCAAAGGAATCTGAGCAAAAAGAACAAACTGGAACCATCACACTGCCAGTCTTAAAATACACTACAAAGCTGTAGTAATCAGAAGAGCATGGTGCTGGCATAAAAACAGGCACACTGACCAAGAGAACAGAATAGAGAGCCCAGAAACAAATCCACACACCTACAGTGAACTCATTTTTCACAAAGGTGCCAAGAACATTTATTAGAGAAAAGACAGTCTCTTCCATAAATGGTGTGGGGAAAACTGCACATTCGTATTCAGATGAAAAAACCAGACTACCACTTCTCAACCTATACAAAAATCAATTCGAAATGCATTAAAGATCTAAATGTAAGACCTAAAATTATAACATTATTGGAAGAAAACATACATAGGAGAAACACTGCAGAATGTTGGTCTAGGGAGATTTTATGAATAAGATCTCAAAAATACAGGCAACAAAAGCAAAGTAAACAAGTGGAATTATAACAAACGAAAATGCTTCTGGACAGCAATAAAAACAGTCAACAGGGTGAAAAGACAACCTATAGAAGAGAAGACGATATTTGCAAACAATTTATCTGACGAGAAATTAATATACAGAATATACAAGGAACTCAAACATCGCAACAATAAAAAATCTCAAAAGAAAACATCTGATTAAAAAATAGGCAAAAATCTCTTTAATTAGTTTACTTGGATCCCATCTGTCAATTTTTGCTTTTGTTAATCTTTGTCCTGGCCTTTGTCCTGAATGCTATTGCCTAGATTTTCTTCTAGGGTTTTTATAGTTTTGGGTTTTAAATTTAGGTCTTTAATCCATCTTTAATTTTTGTAAAATGTGTAAGGAAGGTGTTCAGTTTTAATTTTCTGCTTATGGCTAGCCTGTTCTCTCAGTACCATTTGTTAAATAGGGATTCTTCCTGCCTTGGTTTTTTTTTGGTGAGGTTTGTCGATAATCAGATGGTTATAGATGTGTGGTTTTATTTCTGAGTTCTCTATTCTGTTTTACTAGTCTATGCTCATTTTTGTACCACTACCATGCTGTTTTGGTTACTGTAGCTTTGTAGTATAGTTTTAAGTTAGGTAGCACACTGCCTCCAGCTTTATTCTTTTGCTTAGGATTGTCCTGACTATACAAGCTCTTTTTTGGTTTCATATGAATTTTAAAATAGTTTTTCCTAATTCTGTGAAGACTGTCAATAGTAGTTTAATGGTGATAGCACTGAATCTATAAATTGATTAGGGCAGTATGGCCATTTTCACAATATTGATTCCTCCTATCCATGAGCATGGAATGTAAATTTACAAGAAAAAACAAACAACCCTATTAAAAAGTAGGCAAAGGTCATGAACAGACACTTCTCAAAAGAGGACATACATGCAGCTGACAAACATATGGAAAAAAAGCTTAACATCACTGATCATTAGAGAAATGCAAATCAAAACCACAATGAGACACCATCTCATGCCAGTCAGAATGGCGATTATTAAAAAGTCAAGAAACAACAGATGCTGGTGAGGTTGTGGAGAAATAGGAACACTTTCACACTGTTGGTGGGAATATAAATTAGTTCAGCCATTATGGAAGACAAAAGTGGCAATTCCTCAAATATTTAGAACCAGAAATACCATTTGACCCAGCAAGTCCATTACTGGTGTAGCTGCTATCAAGGATTCATTTGTTCAATGAACAATTTATATTCCAAAGGAATATAAATTATTCTATTATAAAGATACATGCATGTATATGTTCATTGCAGCATTATTCACAATAGCAAAGACATGGAATCAACCCAAATGCCCATCAGTGAAAGACTGGATAAAGAAAATATGGTATATATACATCATGGAATGCTATGCAGCCATAAAAAGAAACTAGATCATGACCTTTGCAGGGACATAGATGAAGCTGGAAGTCATTATCCTTAGCAAACTGATGCAGGAACAGAAAACCAAACACCACATGTTCTCACTTATAAGTGGGGGCTGAAAAAAGAACACATGGACACAGGGAAGGGAACAACATACACTGGGGCCTGTGGGGGAAGGTCAATGGGGTAGGGAGAGCATTAGGAAAAAGAGTTAATACATGCTTGGCTTAACACCTAGGTGATGGGTTGATAAATGCAGCAAACCACCATGGCGCACACTTACTTATTTAACAAACCTGCACATCCTGCACATGTACCCCGGGACTTAAAAAATAAAATATAACAAAATTTCAAAAATGGGCCAAAATATGAACAGATATTTTTCAAAAGAATATTACAAATGGCAAAAAAATACGAAAAAATGCTCAACATCACTAATAATTAGTTAAATGGAAATGAGAATCACAATGAGTTATTGTTTCATCCCAGTTGGGATGACTATTATCAAAGACAATAAATAACAAATGCTGGCAAGAATGCAGAGACAAGCATACTCTTATATACTGTGGGTGGCAATGTAAACTAGTACGGCCACTATAGAGAACAATGTAAAAATTCCTAAAAAAAATAAATAAATAAATAAATAAAACCACAAATAGAACCACCATATGATGTAGCAATCCCACTACTGGGAATTTATCCAAGAAAAAGAAAATACGTATTTCAAAGAGACATCTGCATCCCCATGTTCACGGCAGTACTATTTCTAATAGCCAAGATATGGAATTAGCCTAGGTGTCCAACAATAGATAAATGAATAAAGAAAATGTGGTATATATTCACAGTGGAATACCATGTGGCCATAAAAAGAATACAATTTTGTTATTCAAGGCAACATGGATGGACTTAAAGGGCATTATGTTAAGTGAAATAAGCTAGGAACAGACTGAAACACTGCCTGTTCTTCTCACTCTTATGTGGAAGCTAAAAAAATGTTGATCTCACAGAAGTAAAAAGTATAACAGAGGATACTAGAGCCTGGGTAGAATAGGGGGAGGAACAGGGAGAGATTTGTTAAAAGATACAAAATTATAGCTACAAAGGAATAAGTTCTACCACTGTAAGATGGTTACAGTTAACAATAATACATAGTTTCAAACAGCTAGAAAGAGTATATTGAATGTTCTCAACACAAAAAAGTGATAAATGTTTTAGATGTTGGATATGCTAATTAACTCTATCTTAACACTACACATTATATGTCTCAAAACATCATAGTGTACCCTAATACATATATACAATTATTATGTGTAAATTTAAAAAACAGATATTTAAAATGAGAAATCATGGAGAAAAATATTGTTGTTTAAATTTGAAATAATTCAATAAACAGGATAATTTTCTAAGTAAACATATTTGAAAAGAGAATGTACAATTGCTAAGATAGTACTAAGTAATTCACCTGGAATAATTTCGTAACTCTTTTTCATTTATCAAAGGATGTTAAATACTTCTTCGTGTTATTAAACACAAATCAAAACATTGCAAGTGAGTAAAAAAAAATCTACAAAAAAACAAAAAGAAATAGAAACAGGATGAGAAACAATCCTAGCTTATGAATTGCACAGTATTGAAGGTGACTAACAAATAGATAAGCCATTAGAATACAGCATGACAAGGGCCATGATAGGAACAATGGCAAGGTCCTAGAGGGAACACAGAAAAAGCTCCTAATTTTTATAAACTGCAGCTGTAGTTTCTGGGTTTCCTCAACCTAGTCTCAATTTCAATGAATTTCTAGAAGGACTCATAGAATTCAGCAAAAGCATTTAACTCATGGTTAAACTTTAACACAGCAAAAGGACACAGGTGAAAATTAGAAATAAGAAGAGGTGCGTAGGGTAGGGCCCAGGAGAGTTTCAGGTGCAATTTTTCAACCATCCTTTCTTAGGGGAGTTGGACGGAGAGGGATTTCGTCTCTCCACGTCAATATATGTCAATACGCCCAGAATCTTGCCATTCAGGGAAGCTCACCAAGAATTTGTGTTCAAGAGTTTTATAGGGAAGAAGGAAACGGGTAGTCACGTAGACATGGCTAACTAACTATGTGGCTAGTCTTCAGTCTGCAACCCCTCCAGAGGTCACTAGAGGTCACACTGCTACTGCACGGCCCAAAGTTCCCACTAGAAATCATATGGTTTAGTGTAGACTACCTGGGAAGACCCAAGGCTCTCAGGTAAGTATAGACAGTCTTACCAAGCAGAACATTCCAAGGGCTAAGGGGTTACCTCCAGGAGCTGGACAGAGGCTAAAGTTTTCTTGAGCAAAGTCTGTCCTTTACTGCACAACAGTGCAGTGTATTCAGAGAGGACAGGCTCTGCCTACCCACCCACTATCTAGTGGCTTTGTTTACACAACTTCTTTCTTTAAATTTATATAAATTTATGGAGTACAAGTACAATTTTGTTACATGCAGAGATTGCACAATGGTCAAGTTGGGGCTTTTAGGGGGTCCATCACATGAATAATGTGCACTGTACCCACTACGTAATTTCTCATCTTCTGTTCCTGCACCCCATCCCTCACCCTTCTGAGTCTCCACTGTCTCTCATTCTACTCTTTACATCCATGTGTACACATTTTTAGCACTCCACCCTGCGGTCTATTGGCTAAGATTATACACTACATCTTCTTCCTGGAATCTCTGAAACCCTACTTACACTTTAAACAAAAAGTAAAAACTCTTATCTCTCTGTGCAAAAATTTTAGTTTGTTTGTTTCTTTCTCCACAGCTGCCATTTGTTTTCAAGTACTGCATCTCTCAGAAGGCTAATCTAATTTGTGTGACCCAAACATGTGTATTCAGCTTTAGTAAATTCTTATTTTTAGAGGGGAACTTATTTTTAAGAACAAACTGAAAGATACTCAGTGTTTAACCAGTGAATATTCTTGAACAAAAATATATTTGAAATGTCATAGAAGCACAGTTAAACATTTAAATATACAAAGTCAGCAATGCTCAGAAAAAGGTCTAGATTGCAAAAGGTGACTTTCTAGGCATTTAATATTCTTACAGCTACTCAAAACAGAAAACTTTGATAATGTCTCGCTGCCCATCATATGTTCTATACTTGGGCTCTGTGTAATCATACAGATACTAGCTTCCCTGCTCACTAACTTCTGAAAATCAAAAGTATTTAGGGTGCAACATCAGAAGAGATAAAAAGAAGCTACATATTCATAATACGTGATCCTAGGCTGGGTGCAGTGGCTCACACCTGTAATCCCAGCACTTTTGGAGGCTGAGGCGGGCAGATCATTTGACATCAGGAGTTCGAGACCAGCCTGGCCAACATAGCGAAACCCCATCTCTACTAAAATACAAAAGTTAGCTGAGTGTGATGGTGCACCTCTGTGATCCCAGCTACTTGGGAGGGTGAGGCACAAGAATTGCTTGAACCTGGGAGGCGGAGGTTGCAATAAGCTGAGATTGTGCCACTGCACTCCAGCTTGGGTGACAGAGCGAGACTGTGTCTCAAAAAAAAAAAAAAAAAAAAGACATGGTTCTACATTTTCACATGATTTCATCTAACCAATGTAAACATTAGAAAAAGTTAGCCCGTCTTTAGGGGTGTTGTATTATGAACTGAAAAGATCAATCACATGCAGGTGGGATAATGTGAGCGGTAGGACACAGAGGTTTCCATGTCCCAATGAGAGGAGAAGTTTGCCACCTTGTCTTAAAAACACTTGTTGCTAAAGAACTATGGCTTTAATAAATAAGTTATTTAGTCAAGCCCTAGTAAGCAGTTATCTGAGTCTTTATCATATCTTCTTTGACTCTGTTCAAAAAAATTGTGATGAAAATTGTACACTCAGGGAGGTAGCTACTAGAAAGGATTGTTTATAGTGGCAACAAAGCATAGTGCTGGTTTTCCAACTGACAGAGACAGCATTAACTTGGGTCACAATGAATTTGAAATAAACACGGCACACAGGTATGTAGTGAGTCTCACACAAACTTCACAAAAAAGGAAAATTTCTTCTCTTCACGCTTTCAGGACAAAAGGTCAGTGGTCACTCGAGACTGGGAGCTTTTGTGATTTTTTTGTCTGATTAAACTTAAAGTGGTATGTCACTGGGCCAAGGAGCTTAAGGGCAAATGAGAAATTCAGTGTGCATTGTTACAGAACAGAACTAAATCCCATCTACAGGAAACTGACTTGAGAACTTGCTAATAGAAGAAGCTTGGTCAACTGCAAATATCTCATAAAATACAGAAAAACTCTTTTCAAATTGACCAAGACCAGATAGTTTTCAATTACTTTTCTGTATATAAATCACACTTAGGTGAAAGAGCAAGAGAGCAGGCAAAGAATAAAATGAGAAGCAATTTCATTAATAAGGATCTTAGGGGATCCCATGATCCCACAAAGATAAAGATGACAGCTAATTATTTGACTTCAAGATAGTGTTTGGTAGGGATGCTTCAAGACAGGGTTTGGTAGGGATGCTTGTTAATCTGCAAAACAAACAATACTGAATGAAAGAAGGAGAGGGAAGTATAAGAAGAGGGAAGAAGGAAAAAAGGAGAAAAAGAAGGAAGGAAAGAAAATAGGAGAAAGAGGGAAGAGAGAGAAAAAAAGAAAAAGAAGGAAAGAAAGAAGAAAGAAAAAGAAAGAAAGAAAAGAAAGAAAGGAAAGAAAGAAAGAAAGGAAAGAGAGAAAGAAAAGAAAGAAAGAACGAAAGAAAGAAAGAAAAAGAGAAAGAGAGAAGGGGAGGGAAGGGGAGGGGAGGGGAGGGGAGGGAAGGAAAGGGAGGGGGAGGGGAGGGATTTGATTTTCTTTGTTCCTCTTCCAATATCATCTCTTTTCATTCCCCAGTTGGAACTTTGAATTCTATGTAAATGAACTTGGGATGACCTTTCTTTCTACTGGGTCTTTGCCCAAGCCACTCCCTTTACCTAGAAAACTCTTATCCTTATACTTTCCGCTGACTGCTTCATGTTTTCGGAAATAAAATACTGGTGTTCACACAGAGACTAACTTATCTCCCCAACCATAAGTAATGATAAAAGGTTAGGCAGGGCATCAACTCTAATCATTCCATCCTAAGGATGAAAAAGATTAACCTTTAAGATATTATGGAAATTTTCAGAGTAGACATGCATATTTTAAATAATGGATTTGTAAGAGAGAAATTCTGCAATGAGATGTAAAGTAAATATATTATGGAATTTCCAAATAAAATCTCTGGTTTGAACCCTGTCATGCTGAACAAATGAACATTGTGTCTCTGCTCTTCAAAAACAATGTAAATTGTATTTCTGTTAGTGGATGTAAAATAAAAATACCATTGAACATTAGGAGTCATTTTTTTTCACCTGAAAATCTGAAATAATCTGAAAATGCAATTTAGTGGCTCCTTTAATCATATAGCTCACTAACTTGTCTCGTACTTGAAAGTTTATTTCTTGATGTTAGATATTATATCCAAAATTTTCAACTGGATTTCAGTGGCATAATCACATTAGAGTGTGGTTAAAGCTTTATTTAATACTTAATACATGATGTTCCACATGTCCTTTCATAAAGTTCCCAAAGGATGATCACAACATCTACAAATTAATCCACAAGTTATAACCACTGATTTTATGTCTAATTAAGATTTAGAAGAATAGGGTGTCAAAAATGGCGTTGGAGTTT
The DNA here is from genome assembly GCF_000001405.40 of Homo sapiens. Taxonomy (NCBI): domain Eukaryota; kingdom Metazoa; phylum Chordata; class Mammalia; order Primates; family Hominidae; genus Homo; species Homo sapiens. The sequence continues at coordinate 51,706,955 of NC_000002.12, read as the reverse complement.
TATCTGCATTTTGATTTGTGAGCATCATTGCTAAATAAAAACTGTAGAACCATCTGCCCCTTACAGCAATTGTACAAAGCCTGTTACATATCAAAATCAGATTTTTTCACATTAATCTTGAAATTTACTTTCTACAAAAACTGTAATTCTCTATTGATGCTTGATATTTTAACTCTAATATAAATGTCCATATCTACATTTTTTACCTAACCCTGTGTTCCCAGATTACTTTCATCTTATTGGTACACTTCTATATTCTTCTCCTTAGATCGAATATTAGAATTACAGAATTTCAGAGCTGCCACTTGGTGATTTTTCAGTTATTCGGGTTAAATTTCTCAGTTAAATTGATGCTCATTTGTTTTTTCTGCTTCTGAATGGGCCATTTAGAATTAAATGCTGCATAAATCCCCGAACTTGAGAGTATACTTTTGGAGGATCTAAATCATAGAAATATGACACCCTACTCAGTTAATCAGTGCAACACGTCTGTGTCTCTATGGAGATGGATTGAACAGGGTGTCCAGTCAGCCGCAAACTGCTGAGTATCATTTGACTCTAGCACTACCAATGTGTTTCTATCTAAGTCATGTACTGTTCATGGATGGGATCTTTTCATTCTCATCCAGTCTAGCTTACATCACTCTCCTTTTTCAAATTCCCTTCAGTGCTTGACTTATGCTTTTTTCATAGAGATGGTTGTAACATGGTCTGCTTCATATTTTTGTATGTTCAAATGATGTTTACCCACAGGTTTTTTTTAAACACCTTTAATTGCAGTTCATCTTTATCTAAATGTCTATATCAACCTATACTCCCCCAGCCTAATCACCTAATTCTTATCTGTAATTCAAGGCCAACCTCAAATCACTTCTCATTCTCTTTCAACCTAACCCACAGCCACCTCACTTTATTTTGAAATTCTAAATGGTCTTTGTATCTTTCCTGCATTAAAAATTATATTTCCTGTATATATAATTTCTAATTGTAGTGCAGTGAATTACACATTTATGTAATGATCTCCATAATTATTTTGATAACTTTCACATAATAATCACTGAAACAATTTTAACTTTTATGTCTATTAAGTCTTTCTCTTCCACCATATTCCTACCATTTAATGGTAAATTCTTGAAAGAAGCTGTGCTTTTCCACAAGATACAGAGCAGTGATTTGTTGTTAGTAAAAATCAGTACATTTTTGACTGTCAACCATTCACTCAAAAGCAGTGAGTTATGTAGCACATCAATTACTTTCTCCTGTTCTAAGTTCTAGAGGTAGAAGATGAACTAAAATAGGATGAGAAATTTAGGGGAGTTAAGAGCAACAAAATCCTCTGTCAGCAAATTTGAACTACAATCAATGAAGATTATAAACACAGATATGCAGGAAGAGGGTGGGTGGCAAATGTTGAACTAACATGGCTCTTGACTCAGTGTTCCATTCCCGTAA